>NC_000002.12:32103378-32256129 GCF_000001405.40 Homo sapiens
AGCAGTCTATCAGTTTTGTTGATCTTTTCAAAAAACCAGCTCCTGGATTCATTGATTTTTTGAAAGGTTTTTTGTGTCTCTATCTCCTTCATTTCTGCTCTGATCTTAGTTATTTCTTGCCTTCTGCTAGCTTTTGAAGGTGTTTGCTCTTGCTTCTCTAGTTCTTTTAATGGTGATGTTAGGGTGTCAATTTTAGATCTTTCCTGTTTTCTCTTGTGGGCATTTAGTGCTATAAATTTCCCTCTACACACTACTTTAAATGTGTCCCAAAGATTCTGATATGTTGTGTCTTTGTTCTCGTTGGTTTCAAAGAACATCTTTATTTCTGCCTTCATTTTCTTATATACCCAGTAGTCATTCAGGAGCAGGTTGTTCAGTTTCCATGTAGTTGTGTGGTTTTGCGTGAGTTTCTTAATCCTGAGTTCTAGTTTGATTGCACTGTGGCCTGAGAGACAGTTTGTTGTAATTTCTGTTCTTTTACATTTGCTGAGGAGTGCTTTAGTTCCAACTATGTGGTCAATTTTGGAATAGGTGTGGTGTGGTGCTGAGAAGAATGTATATTCTGTTGATTTGGGGTTTAGAGTTCTGTAGATGTCTATTAGGTCCACTTGGTGCAGAGCTGAGTTCAGTTCCTGGATCTGTCTTGTTGATCTGTCTAATATTGACAGTGGGGTGTTGAAGTCTCCCAGTATTATTGTGTGGGAGTCTAAGTCTCTTTGTAGGTCTCTAGGGACTTGCTTTATGAATCTGGGTGCTCCTGTATTGGGTGCATATATATTTAGGATAGTTAGCTCTTCTTGTTGAATTGATCCCTTTAGCATTATATGATGGCCTTCTTTGTCTCTTTTGATCTTTGTTGGTTTAAAGTCTGTTTTATCAGAGAGTTGGATTGCAAACCCTGCTTTTTTTGTTTTCCATTTGCTTGGTAGATCTTCCTCCATCCCTTTATTTTGAGCCTATGTGTGTCTCTGCACGTGAGATGGGTTTCCTGAATACAGCACACTGATGGGTCTTGACTCGTTATCCAATTTGCCAGTCTGTGTCTTTTAATTGGAGCATTTAGCCCATTTCCATTTAAGGTTAATATTGTTATGTTTGAATTTGATCCTGTCATTATGATGTTAGCTGGTTATTTTGCTCGTTAGTTGATGCAGTTTCTTCCTAGCCTCGATGGTCTTTACAATTTGGCATGTTTTTGCAGTGGCTTGTACCGGTTGTTCATTTCCATGTTCAGTGCTTCCTTCAGGAGCTCCTGTAAGGCAGGCCTGGTAGTTACAAAATCTGTCAGCATTTGCTTGTCTTTAAAGGATTTTATTTCTCCTTCACTTATGAAGCTTAGTTTGGCTGGATATGAAACTCTGGGTTGAAAATTCTTTCCTTTAAGAATGTTGAATATTGGCCCCCACTCTCTTCTGGTTTTTAGAGTTTCTGCCAAGAGATCAGCTGTTAGTCTGATGGGCTTCCCTTTGTGGGTAACCCGACCTTTCTCTCTGGCTGCCCTTAACATTTTTTCCTACATTTCAACTTTGGTGAATCTGACAATTATGTGTCTTGGAGTTGCTCTTCTTGAGTAGTATCTTTGTGGCATTCTCTGTATTTCCTGAATTTGAATGTTGGCCTGCCTTGCTAGGTTGGGGAACTTCTCCTGGATAATATCCTGCAGAGTGTTTTCCAACTTGGTTCCATTCTCCCCGTCACTTTCAGGTACACCCGTCAGACATAGATTTGGTCTTTTCACATAGTCCTATATTTCTTGGAGGTTCTGTTCGTTTCCTTTTACTCTTTTTTCTCTAAACTTCTCTTCTGGCTTCATTTCATTCATTTGATCTTCAATCACTGATACCCTTTCTTCCACTTGATCGAATCGGCTACTGAAGCTCATGCATGCATCACGTAGTTTTCGTGCCATGGTTTTCAGCTCCATCAGGCCATTTAAGGTCTTCTCCATGCTGTTTATTCTAGTTAGCCATTTGTCTAATCTTTTTTCAAGGTTTTTAGCTTCTTTGCAATGGTTTCGAACATCCTCCTTTAGCTCGGAGAACTTTGTTATTACCCATCGTCTGAGGCCTACTTCTGTCAGCTTGTCAAAGTCTTTCTCTGTCTAGCTTTGTTCCGTTGCTGGTGAGGAGCTGTGTTCCTTTGGAGGAGAAGAGGCGCTCTGAATTTTAGAATTTTCAGCTTTTCTGCTCTGGTTTCTCCCCATCTTTGTGGCTTTATCTACCTTTGGTCTTTGATGATGGTGACGTACAGATGGGGTTTTGGTGTGGATGTCCTTTCTGTTTGTTAATTTTCCTTCTAACACTCAGGACCCTCAGCTGCAGGTCTGTTGGAGTTTGCTGGAGGTCCACTCCAGACCCTGTTTGCCTGGGTATCACCAGCGGAGGCTGCAGAACAGCAAATGTTGCAGAACGACAAATGTTGCTGTCTGATCCTTCCTCTGGAACCTTCGTCTGACAGGGGTACCCAGGTATATGAGGCGTCAGTCAGCCCGTATGGGGAGGTGTCTCCCAGTTAGGCTACTTGGGGATCAGGGACCCACTTGAGGAGGCAGTCTGTCCGTTCGCCGATCTCAAACTCCATGCTGGGAGAACTACTACTCTCTTTAGAGCTGTCAGACAGGGACCTTTAAGTCTGTAGAAGTTACTGCTGCCTTTTGTTCAGCTATCCCATGTCCCCAGAGGTGGAGTCTACAGAGGCAGTCAGGCCTCCTTGAGCTGTGGTGGACTCCACCCAGTTCAAGCTTCCTAGCTGCTTTGTTTACCCACTCAAGCCTCAGCAATGGCAGATGCCCCCGCCTCCAGCCTCTTTGCCGCCTTGCAGTTCGATCTCAGACTGCTGTGCTAGCAGTGAGCGAGGTTCCGTTGGCATGGGACCCTCTGAGCCAGGCATGGGATATAATCTCCTGGTGTGCCGTTTGCTAAGACCATTGGAAAAGCCCAGTATTAGGGTGGGAGTCTCCCTATTTTCCAGGTACCATATGTCACGGCTTCCCTTGGCTAGGAGAGGGAATTCCCCAACCCCTTGCGCTTCCCAGGTGAGGCAATACCCCGCCCTTCAGCTCACACTATGTGGGCTGCACCCACTGTCTGACAATCCCCAGTGAGATGAACCCAGTTCCTCAGTTGGAAATGCAGAAATCAGCTGTCTTCTGTGTCGCTCACACTGGGAGCTGCAGACTGGAGCTGTTCCTATTTGGCCATCTTGGAACCCTGCCTTCTTCATTCATATGTAATACAAAACTTCTAAGGTTTTAGTGGAGAAGAGATAGAGTAAAAGGATTTCTATAGACAGAAGAAACAGTTGGTCATCAACTCTTTCCCTTGTGGCTTCACATCTCCCCTAAGGACTTCTTATGTTGGTTTGGTCTTACAGTATAGTCAGTGGCAGTTTCCCTCTTCCCATTCCTTCCTCTGTCTGATTTAAAATGCTGTTTCAAGTATCGATATAAGTATTTTGCCTGTTTCTTTTAGCGTGGCTGTGAAGGGCTGACATTTTCAGAAGGCACTTACTGAAAAAAAAAAAACAAAGAAATGTAAGAGTCCATCACATATAAATAGTTAAGTTTCTAAAATATGTATTTGAGATCCCAGTAATTCTACTAGGATAAATAGCAAAAATTCTCCAGCCCTGAAGAGTTGGTCTGTCTTTCCTTTCCTTGTTATCTTGATTCTCTTTTATTTCATTTCACATGCTAGACCCCATCATGTTTTCCTGCTGCATTCCCCACTCCACCCTCCAAAGCAATGTTCTCTTCCTGCAACCTGTTTGAAAAAATTGAACTTTGTCTTATTTCATATCCCTAGTACAAGTTGAATATCCCTAATATGAAATCTGAAATCCAAAATGCTCTAAAATTCGACTCTTTTTTTTTTGAGATGAAGTCTTCCTCTGTCACTCAGGCTGGAGTGCGGTGGCGCAATCTTGGCTCACTGCAACCTCCGCAGCCTCCCCTAACCCCATCCCTGTGGGTTCAAGCGATTCTCCCACTTCATCCTCCCAAGTAGCTGGGACTACAGGCACCTGCCACCACACCCAACTAATTTTTTGTATTTTTAGTAGAGATGAGGTTTCACCATGTTGGTCAAGCTAGTCTGAGACTCCTGACCTTAAGTGATCCACCTGCCCTGGCCTCCCAAAGTGTTGGGATTACAGTCATGAGCCACTGTGCCTAGCCAAATATCCAAAACTTTTTGAGCGCTGACATGATGCTCAAAGGAAATACTGGAGTATTTTGCATTTTGGATTTTTGGGTTAAGGATGCTGAACCAGTAAGTATAATGTAAACATTGCAAAATGCAAAAAAATGTAAAAACCCTAAGCAGTTCTGGTCCCAAGCATTTCGCATAAGGGATACTCAACCCATAATCTTTTCTTTTCTGTTTTCTGGTTGGAAGGGCATATTGGCTTTATAGCTAATTTACACAGCATTGATGTTTAATACACAGTGAGTCCAAGTAGATCACTCAGACCTATTAGTAGTTTATTAGTGTCACTCACTTCTGGAACATTCTGTGATGTTTTACTTGGATGAGTTCTTTCACCTCTCTTGGGAAATAGTCATACCAAAGTCTGCTTATTACTACAATGTGTTATCTATTATACATTGTCCAATTTTCTACTCAAAATTACTAGACAGGCAAAGAAAAAGTAAAGTATAACCCTTACTCAAGAAAAAAAAGCAATCAGTAGAAACTGTGAGTGGGCCCAGATATTGGATTTAGCAGACAAAGACTTCAAAGCAGCTATTATAATATGTTTAAAGAATTGAAAGAAAATATGGTATCAGTTAAACAGGAAATCTAAGTAGATGATATAAACTAGACAATAAAAATAATATTCTAAAGTTGAAAAGTGTAGTTACTGAAATTAAAAATTTACAGACAACAGCCTCAACAGCAGATTAGAGATAGCAAAAGAAAGATTCAGTGACTTTGAATGCAGGTCTGTAGAAATTACTAAATTGATGACTCTCACGTAGCAACTTTCACCCGTAGTTTGGTTTCATATACAATGCTTTAACTCTTTTTGCTATTTTTTCTCTTACTTTCTGTGATGGAAACATTTTGTGCTTTGATTTTAATGGGTGTATCACAGTTATATACATCTTTACAAACTCATCAAATTGTATACTTTATTTATATATTTATTTTTTTTTGAGATAGGGTCTGACTCTTTCTCCCAGGCTGGAGTACAGCTGAAATTAGTTGGGACTACAGGTGGGCACCACTGTGCCAGCTAATTTTTGTATTTTTTGTAGAGATGGGGTTTCCCCATGTTGGCCAGTCTGGTCTCAAACTCCTGGGCTCAATCATTTCTGCCGCCTCAGACTCCCAGAGTGTTGGGATTATAGGTGTGAGCTACTGTGCCTGGCTGGTATAGCTTTTTTTTTTTTTTTTTTTTTTTTTGTGACAGAGTCTCACTCTGTCGCCCAGGGTGGAGTGCAGTGGCGCGATCTGGGCTCACTGCAACCTCTGCCTCCCGGGTTCAACCCATTCTCCTGCCTCAGCCTCCTGAGTAGCTGGGACTACAGATGCGTGCCACCATACCCAGCTGATTTTTGTATTCTTAGTAGAAACAGAGTTTCACCATGTTGGCCAGGATGATCTCGATCTCCTGACCTCGATCCACCTGCCTTGGCCTCCCACAGTGCTGGCATTACAGGCCTGAGCCACCATGCCTGGCTGTTGGTATACTTTAAATGGATGTAATTCATTGCAGATTATACCTCAGTAAATTTTTATTTAGTTTTTGAGACTGAGTTGCTCTGTTGCCCAGGCTGGAGTGCAGTGGCACGATTTCAGCTCACTGCAACCTCTGCCTCCTGGGTTTAAGCGATTTTCCTGTCTCAGCCTCCCCGGTAGCTGGAATTAGAGGTGTGTGCCACCATGATCAGATTATTTTTGTGTTTTTAGTAAAGATGGGGTTTCACCATGTTGGCCAGGCTGGTCTCGAACTCCTGACTTCAGGTGATCCACCCGCCTCGGCCTCTCAAAGTGCTGGGATTACAGGTGTGAGCCACCACGCCTGGCCTTAATTTTTAAATACTGTAAGGCTTATAAAGAAAAGAATATTCCCCTTCTGTTTCTTTCCTCTCACGTAGCAACCTTCACCCCTAGTTTGGTTTCATATACAGTGTTTTAACTCTTTTTGCTATTTTTTTCTCTTACTTTCTACTATATTTCCAAATACAATGCTTCTATAATGATTCCTTTTTTTTTTCTATCAGTTTTTGATAATCATTGACTCCTTATGGTCAAAGAAGACTTAATTCCCTTCTGTCACTCTTCATATATTAATATAACTAATATATATATTGTTTAGTTTTGATATAACTAAAAATAACTATATGTATATATAACTATATATGTATAAGCTATCTGTATATAGTTATATATGTATATGCACATACATATATAGTTACATATGTATACACACATACATATATAGTTACATATGTATATGCATATACATATATAGTTACATATCTATATGCATATACATATATAGTTACATATGTATATGCATACACATATATAGTTACATATGTATATGCATATACATATATAGTTACATATGTATATGTATATGTATATACATATATAGTTATATATGTATTAGTTATATCAAAATAACTATGTATATATAGCTGTAAATGTATATATAAACTATATGTATACAGTTATATATGTATTTGTATATGTGTGTATACATATATAGTTTTTTTTGTTTTTTTTTTTTGTTTTTTTTGTTTTTTTTTGGAGATGGAGTCTTGCCCTGTCCCCCAGGCTGGAATGCAGTGGTGCTATCTTGGCTTACCGCAACCTCTGCTTCCCAGGTTCAAGCAATTCTCCTGCTTCAGTCTCCCGAGTACCTGGGATTACAGGCACGTGGCACCACGCCAGGCTAATTTTTTGTATCTTTAGTAGAAATGGGGTTTCACCATGTTGGCCAGGCTGTTCTCAAACTCCTGACCTCGTGATCCACCCGCCTCGGCCTCCCAAAGTGCTGGGATTACAGGCGTGAGCCACCGCGCCTGGTCCCTATACATATATAGTTATATATACCTATAGTTATTTTTAGTTATATCAAAATAACTATATGTATATGTAACTATATATATAGTATATATAGTATATATATACTATATAGTGTGTATATATAGTATATATATACTATATAGTGTGTATATATAGTATATATATAGTGTATATATCGTATATACACTATATACTATATAGTGTATATATAGTATATGTAGTATATATAGTATATATAGTATAGTATATATAGTATATATAGTGTATATATACTGTATATATAGTGTACATAGTATACTATATAGTATACATATAGTACACTGTATAGTATATATAGTATAGTATATATAGTATACATAGTATACTATATATAGTATAGTATACATAGTATACTATATAGTATATAGAGTATATATACAGTATACTATATAGTATATAGAGTATATATACAGTATACTATATCGTGTGTATAGAGTATATATACAGTATACTATATCGTGTGTATAGAGTATATATACAGTATACTATATCGTGTGTATAGAGTATATATACAGTATACTATATCGTGTGTATAGAGTATATATACAGTATACTATATCGTGTGTATAGAGTATATATACAGTATACTATATCGTGTGTATAGAGTATATATACAGTATACTATATCGTGTGTATAGAGTATATATACAGTATACTATATAGTGTGTATAGAGTATATATACAGTATACTATATAGTGTGTATAGAGTATATATACAGTATACTATATAGTGTGTATAGAGTATATATACAGTATACTATATAGTGTGTATAGCGTATATATACAGTATACTATATAGTGTGTATAGCGTATATATACAGTATACTATATAGTGTGTATAGCGTATATATACAGTATACTGTATAGTGTGTATAGCGTATATATACAGTATACTGTATAGTGTGTATAGCGTATATATAGTATACTGTATAGCGTATAGAGTATATATATAGTATACTGTATAGTGTATAGAGTATATATATAGTATACTGTATAGTATATAGAGTATATATAGTTACATATACATATAGTTATTTTTAGTAATATCAAAAAACCATAGCTAAGATTTTTATGATTTAGCAAAATATTGTTTACCCCAAAGCCACGTATTATATATTAATGATATTTTTTCCCTTTTGAGTTTTTCTTCCCCACAGGTTTTCTGATCTTTTTTTTTGTTCTCTAACTTTATATTATAGGTATATACTCTTTTCTCTGTTTAATTTGCTTTTTAACTAGAAGACCTCCTTTAGTAGTTCTTTTAGTGAATATCTGTGGTTAAACTCTTAGTCTTTCCAGTGTCTGAAATACCCTCATTTTAATGTGACAGGTCACTTTTCTCACCTCAACATTTTGGACATACCTCATTTCCAACAAACATTTGTTACTTCTGATAGAGAGTCTGCTGTCATTCTCATACTTGTTCCTTGTGGAAATGTCTATATATAAAGTCTCAGAACTATATATTTTTAATATATATACATATTTTTATTTATTTAAAAATGTATAATTAAGTTAGTAGTAGTAGTAGTAGTAGTAGTAGTAGTAGTAGTAGTAGTTTTTTTTTTTTTAGATGGAGCCTCCATCTCCCGGGTTCAAGTGATTCTCCTGCCTCAGCCTCCTGAGTAGCTGGGATTACAGGCACACACCACCATGCCTGGCTAATTTTTGTATTTTGAGTGGAGATGGGGTTTCACCATGTTGGCCAGGCTGATCTTAAACTCCTGACCTCAGATGGACCACCTGCTTTGGCCTCCCAAAGCGCTAGGATTACAGGCATGAACCACTGCGTCTGGCCTTAAGTTATTATTGACTATTGATGCCCTGTTGCTCTATCAAGTAGTAGGTCTTATTTATTCTAGAACCTCGTTTTAAGGTATCCTGAATGTGGCTTTTTTTTTTTTTTTTCCTAAGACGGAGTCTCACTCTGTTGCCCAGGCTGGAGTGCAATGGAGTGATCTTGGCTCACCGCAATCTCTGCCTCCTTGGTTCAAGCAATTCTCCTGCCTCAGCCTCCTGAGTAGCTGAGATTACAGGCGCACGCCACCACACCTGGCTAATTTTTGTGTTTTTAGTAGAGACGGGGTTTCACCACATTGGTCAGGCTTGTCTCAAACTCCTGACCTTGTGATCCGCCCACCTTGGCCTCCGAAAGTTCTGGGATTACAGGCGTAAGCCACCACGCCCAGCCTAATGTGGATTTTGTTTTTTTTTTTAACTTGAATTTTATTTATACTTCCTGATTTTATAATAGTTAACTTGTAGTAAAAGTAAA
Organism: Homo sapiens; assembly: GCF_000001405.40. NCBI lineage: Eukaryota > Metazoa > Chordata > Mammalia > Primates > Hominidae > Homo > Homo sapiens. Next base: position 32,112,730 of record NC_000002.12, read on the forward strand.
CTGGTTGTCTAAATAAATAAGCTGATTTCCTATACTAGTTTAGAGTCTTTAGTTTTCTTAAACCGTATTAAGAGATTTGATTACAAAAGTAAAATTGAGGCTTTTGTCTTTTTTTTTGGCCACTCTAATTTGCTGACTGACTTAACATTTGTCTTCACAGTAAACATTGTAAATAAACACTGATGTTTGTTGCGTAGTATGTAAAAATATTATTTAGGAGTGGTGAGATTTAAACATTTACAAACCTGTAATATATATAGTACAGCAACACTGGACAAATAACCTTTTCAACTTAATCAGAGGTGTTCTATAAATGTTCATTTGCATATATACAGCCCATATAATACTTAGCATATGTAAAAGCACATCTTTATACTCTTTCAATTAAAATTGATTATTATTATTATTTTTTTTTTGAGACAGAGTCCCTCTCAGTCACCCAGGCTGGATTGCAGTGGTGTGATCAGGGCTCACTGCAATCGGGTAGCTGGAACTACAGGGATGTGCCACCACGCCCAGCTATTTTTGTATTTTTAGTGGAGATGGGGTTTCACCATGTTGGCCAGGCTGGTCTTGAACTCCATACCTCAGGTGATCTGCCCGCCTCAGCCTCCCAAAATGCTGGGATTACAGGCGTGAGCTACTGCACCCGGCCTAAAATTGATTAGTTTTTAAGACCCTCTTGGTGGGAACAGACTTTCATAGTGTTTATAGTTATAATAGTTTGGAATCAAAGTAGTCGAGTGCTACTTTTTTTTCCTCTGTACATCCTATCCCTAATGCCTTTACTATATTTTGTTTCTTATTTGAGAGCTTTATTTGCTTCATAACTTTTTTTTTTTTTTTTTTTTTTTGAGACAGAGTTTCACTCTGTCACCCAGGCTGGAGTGCAGTAGTGCAATCTCGGCTTACTGCAACCTCCGCCTCCTGAGTTCAAGTGATTCTCCTGCCTCAGCCTCCGAAGTAGCTGGGATTATAGGCCCCCACCACCACGTCTGACTGATTTTTTGTATTTTTAGCAGAGACGAGGTTTCACCATGTTGGCCAGCCTGGTCTTGAACTACTGACATCAGGTGATCCGTCCACCTCGATCTCCCAAAGTGCTGGGATTACAGGTGTGAGCCATCGCGCCCGGCGCTTCATAACCTTTTTATATTGTCTTTCTGTTCCCCAAAATGAAGTAGTTTCTTCTTAAAAATACTGTTTTTTGTTTTTTTGTTTTTTTTTTTATTTGAGATGGAATCTCTCTCTGTCGCCAGGCTGGAGTGCAGTGGCACGATCTCGGCTCACTTCAACCTCTGACTCCGTGGTTCAAGCAATTCTCCTGCCTCAGCCTCCCAGGTAGCTGGGATTACAGGCACAAATACTGTTTTTAATAAGAAAATTAGAATAGGGACAGGCACAATGGCTCACTCTTGTAATCCCAGCACTTTGGGAGGCCAAGGTGGGAGGATTGCCTGAGCCCAGGAGTTCGAGACCAGCCTAGGCAACATAGTGAGTGAGACCCTGTTTCTATAAAAAAAATTTTTAATTAGTCCGGTCTGGTGGTGCACAACTGATGTCCCAGCTACTTGGGAGTTTGAGGTGGGAGGATGGATCACTTGAGCCCAGGAAGATTAAGGCCACAATGAGCTGTGATCATGCCACTGCACTCCAGCCCAGGCCACAGGTTTCAAAAAAAGAGAAAATTAGAATTATACGTTAGGGGGAAAAAACCTAATAACCATATTCCTATCTACCTAGTGACCACCCCTATGAAGATCCTGGTACATGTTCTCATTGAAATCTTATTTTGAAATATTTTTGAATTAAAAAAATATATTATTACCTTGGTTTTACAAATGTTTGCTTGTCTTTATGTTCAGCTACAATTTTCTAATCACAATGGTTTTACTTTTTCCTTGTCAGAAAGTGGAGCTGTTCCAAAAAGAAAAGACCCCTTAACACACACTAGTAATTCACTGCCTCGTTCAAAAACAGTTATGAAAACTGGATCTGCAGGCCTTTCAGGCCACCATAGAGCACCTAGTTACAGTGGTTTATCCATGGTTTCTGGAGTGAAACAGGGATCTGGTCCTGCTCCTACCACTCATAAGGTATTCTGGGACAGTAACTTTAATTGCTGTCTTTTTGCAAATAGAAAAATTTTTAAGATACTATTCCTGCTTAAGTTGATCATAAGTACTTTATAATACTTTAGAGAATGGATAAGTTTCCATAAAGTTAAATTTTTTTTTTTTTTTTTTGAGACTCTTGTTTTCCAGGCTGGAGTGCAATGGCGCGATCTCGGCTCATTGCAACCTCCGCCTCCCAGGTTCAAGCGATTCTCCTGCCTCAGCCTCCCAAGTAGCTGGGATTACAGGCATGCACCACCACGTCGAGCTAATTTTGTATTTTTAGTAGAGACGGGGTTTCTCCATGTTGGTCAGGCTGGTCTCAAACTCCCGACCTCAGGTGATCCGCCTGCCTCAGCCTCCCAAAGTACTGGGATTACAGGCGTGAGCCACCGTGCCCAAAGTTAATTTTTTTTTAAATCCACAGGGCAACTTGCTATAAAACTTTTTTTGGACCTCATTAGACATTTAATACCAAGTTTTGCTTACCCAGTCTGTTTTATATAATGCTGTATATTTCATTTTAAATTTATTTTTAAAATTATTTCAATCTTTGTAAATGTTTTATACCAGTAACATACCTAGAGTTTTGTCATGATTCTAACAAGGGTTAAAATTTGTTTTTATTTTGTAAAAACTAAATCTCTGGATAAAATCCTCTATAACTGACTTAATGCCAAATATAGTTCTCTAGTGAATACAGTTTTACCTTCAGGTAAATAAATATACAATTTATGGATTTTTATACCCTTTTTCCTATTTTTAAAGCTTGAATTCTGTGAACTTTAAGGTTAACTTATTTATGAAAAGTGTAAATGTTAGGTTGTATTTTCATATTAAAATTTTGTATCCTTTAAGGGTACTCCGAAAACAAATAGGACAAATAAACCTTCTACCCCTACAACTGCTACTCGTAAGAAAAAAGACTTGAAGAATTTTAGGAATGTGGACAGCAACCTTGCTAACCTTATAATGAATGAAATTGTGGACAAGTAAGTTTTGCCATCTAAATGTTTTATTTTATAGTTTTTATATTTTAATTTTACTTATAAAACATGTCAGGAGTGAAATAGATAATAAATACCTTGTCTGGTTTACATACTTAATTTTTATGATAGTTTTCAATTATAAATGTAGAAAACCATTGCTTTACTGATTTAACTATAGTTTAACAGTTAACATTAAAAATAACTATATGTCATAGGGCTTAGGCTTCATCTTGTAATAACTGGGCCCTGTTTGTATCGTAGAACTAACTGAGGTCTTGTTTCTTAGTGGAACAGCTGTTAAATTTGATGATATAGCTGGTCAAGACTTGGCAAAACAAGCATTGCAAGAAATTGTTATTCTTCCTTCTCTGAGGCCTGAGGTAAGAACTTTATATTATCATTTTTCTATAATACCATCTGTTACTGAATCCATAGTAGTAGTAGTAGTAAAGAAATATTTGAGCTATACTAAAATAATTAATTCATATAAGGTAACAATAGATTTAATGTTTTAAAAAAGATAAAACATTAACAATTGATGTTGAGAAGTTATTATAGAATAGGAAAATGGATATGAGTTCCTAATTTCCAATCCTTTTATATTTTTAGGAAAAGTGGGTAGTATGATATAATTTTGTTTTGTTTTGGAGACGGAGTCTCACTCATTGTGTCGCCCAGGCTGGAGTGCAGTGGCATGATCTTAGCTCACTGCAACCTCTGCGTCCCAGAATTCAAGTGATTCTCCTGCCTCAGCCTCCCAAGTAGCTGGGATTACAGGCATGTGCCACTATGCCCAGCTAATTTTTGTAATTTTAGTAGAGATGGGGTTTTGCTATATTGGCCAGGCTGGTCTTTCATACCTGATGTCAAGTTATCCACCCATTTCGGCCTCCCAGAGTGTTAGGATTACAAGTGTGAGTCACTACATCTGGCCAAATTTTGATATCAAGGTGAGAGAGATTTAAAATTAAGATAAGGTACAAAAATTAGCCTAGTGTGGGGGCGCACGCTTGTAGTCCCAACTACTGGGGAGGCTGTGGCAGGAGAATTGCTTGAACCAGGAGGCAGAGGTTGCAGTGAGCCAAGATGGCACCACTGCACTCCATCCTGGGTGACAGAGCGAGATGTCATCTCAAAAACAAAACAGGCCGGGTACGGTAGTTCACGCCTGTAATCCCAGCACTTTGGGAGGCTGAGGCGGGCAGATCACGAGGTCAAGAGATTGAGACCATCCTGGCTAATATGGTGAAACCCTGTCTTTACTAAAATTACAAAAATTAGCTGGGCTTGGTGGTGTGTAACCCCAGCTACTCGGGATGCTGAGGCAGGAGAATCGCTTGAACCCGGGAGGCGGAGGTTGCAGTGAGCCGAGATCACGCCACTGCACTCCAGCCTGGCGACAGAGCGAGACTCCGTCTCAAAAAAATAAATAAAAATTTAAAAAGATAAATACATAAAAATAAATAAATAATATTAAGAGAAGGAAATCAGGCAGGTAGTGGCCCCTGACACAATGAGTTTTCCCAGAATTGGATTGCTTGGAAATGCCGCTCAAAGAGTGTGGTAAACTCCATCGAAGGCTAAATACCAACGTGACAGTGATAATAAACAAGTACTTTATGGGAAAGTTTTTTTTTTAATTATTTTTAAAAAGAGAGAAATTGTACTGGAGAAAAGAGGAATTCAGGTAGAATAATTCTTTTTTTTTTTTTTTTTGAGATGGAATTTTGCTCCTGTTACCCAGGCTGGAGTGCAGTGGCTTGATGTTGGCTCACTGCAACCTCTGCCTTTGGGGTTCAAGTGATTCTCATGCCTCATCCTCCTGAGTAGCTGGGTCTATAGGCATGCACCCCAACACCTGGCTAATTTTTGTGTTTTTAGTAGAGATAGGGTTTTACCATTTTGGCCAGGCTGGTCTCAAACTCCTGGCTTCAGATGATCCGCCCACCTTGGCTTCCCAAAGTGCTGGGATTACAGGCAGAGGCCACTGTGCCTGGCATGAAGAACAATTTTTAAAAGAATGACTTTTAAGGATATTAAGTCATCAAAGTAGATAGAGCCATTAAATGATGGGTAGAAACCTAATCTTCCATCCCATATTTTATGACTTATTAAGGAAGATAGGCAATCTTGCAGTTGATAATAAATATTTGGCTTTCCATACTTAGCACCGTTTTGAATTTTTCCAGTTCACAGATGGTATATTTAGTGCTGTTCCAATAATATTGCAAAAAATAAATCTGAAGACTCACTTCTGGGTCACAGTTATTTCACTATTAACATTAAAATCTTACGGACCTACCTGCAACATGTAGTGGAAATAAGTTGTGTGGCACGTTGTGGTGGGTGCATTATTAAATAAATGTGCAAAGGTTTTATGGCTGTCTCAATTTTTCCATAGTCTTGAGTCATTCACATACTGCCTTTATGGTGTTTATCACTTGTAAGTGAGTACCAACTGTACTAGAACTTACTGAATATTTTTCAAGTCTATTTTACTTATTACTCATTCTAAGTACATAAAATCACTGGTCTGATATGCAAGTTAGGTTTTCGCTAATACCCAGTAAAATAATTAGATAATTATTAAAATAGAAAGCATTTGTCATTATGTGAACTGGATTTATGTCATGTACCACCTCAGGTCACACTTTGGGAAACGTAGCTTACGTATTGAGCTAACATTTTGCTGGAGTTATATAAGATTAGTAAATGCTATAGACTAAATATTGAAAAAAAAGCTTGCTTAAAGAGGATTTACATAATTGTAGACCTGAAAAGGATCTTAGCAGTCTTCTGATCGATTCATTGATAAAGAAACTAGTCCTAAGAGCTAAAATGACTTGCTCAAGATTTTAGTTAAGTGGTAGACCTAGGAAATACCTTTCTAAGATTAGAGCTGCCTGGTTAGTGCTATAGCTGCCACCTAATTCTTACATTTATTTATTAAGGGACATGCTTTTTACGGTAGAAAAATATATCTAAAATTGTGAAGGTAATACCAAGGAAATATTTAGGCTATGCAAGAAAAGTCATTCAGCTTTTGCTTTACCCAGGCCTATAGAGAACATATCTAAAATAATAAGTAACATGTGAATTTGAATTTAGGCATATTTTCATGGTAGTGACATAATGTGCAATTAAGAAGCTATAATAATGTAAAAATGCCAGTTGCAAGTTATTTCAAATAAAGTTGAATAACCTGACCTCAGGAGGGGCAGAAACCTTAGTAAACTTAGCAAACTGAGACCTAAGGAAGAGCAAGATCTGTGGTAGAGCCAGGTCTAAAGGTTTATATCCTGGTACAAACTTGTCTATACATCACCACACCTGCCAAATGGAACTTTTTTTCCTTGTAGTTCAGATTTCCAAGAAAGGGAATATTATTGTCCTAGCTCAGCGTTTCACAATAGACTCACAAAATGAATCTTGTTAAGCCTATGAATGGGTAAGACTTATCCCATAACACGCCTCTATTGTGTAAAAAAATCAGCTTTATTCCTAATTCCCTGTAGTAGGAAGCTTGCATAGACCACAATAGAGACATTGTTAGATTATATCAAGAAGGTGAGTGGCAGGCATTCTTGAGTATACTGGAATTTTTATTTCATTGTAGAAACACAGAATCATAATTAGTCATCTAAAACTGGTTTTAAGGAGATAATACTAAAGATACTCACTTGAGGTAGATTGTTCTCAGAATTACTTAAAATAAGTGCTTTAAATCTTGCTCATTCATGAAGCCATAGCCCTGGAAGGAGATATTGAAAAACTTCTCCATCTTCCTTCAATCCCATAGGACCATGTTTTTAATTGTAGTTTAACATTAAACATAATTTTTGAAAGTAGCCAATATTAATCTTTGACAAAAAACTCAAACTAAATAGCAGAAAATAGAACATGCCCTCTCCTCTCGCCCAAAAGTAAGACTACATTTTAAAGTATATCACAGTGATCTGTCTAAATATTTTTCTCAAATATTTTACTAAGAAAGCGTATATTCTTCTGTCCTTATTTCATAGATCTCTTCTGTATCCTGTGCAGCTTGTCTATCATTTCGAGCTTTTATATTTCTTATTTTGTTCTCTTGCTGCTTAAATGTGATTCTTTGAGATTTATAGAAGAATGTGATTGTTCTCCAGTTTTAAAAAGCTCTTCTCTATCTACTAAAATTTCCATGAATTTCTTTCTTTCTTTTTTTTTTTTTGATTGAGACAGTCTCGCTGTGTTCTCCAGCGTGGCCTTAGGCTTAAGTGATCCTCCTGTCTCAGCCTCCCAAGTAGCTGAGATTACAGAAATTTCCATGAATTTCCAAATATGATGTTATCTTTCATATAAGCTTAAACATAAGCCTTTCTTCTTTCAAAAATGTTAGAACTTACCTCTTTAAATAATCTTATAAAGCCATTTCTTAATTTTTGTTACCTTTTCGAATCTATTAACTTGCATATCATAGTAAATGAACCCTTAGCTCCATCATACCACACACCTTCTACTCCTGTCCTCCCACTTTTTCTCACCCAGGCTGGAGTACAGTGAATATTTAGTGCTTTTAAATATTATTCATTACCAAGCCAAGTAGCGTACTATTTTTTCCTTGTACAGCCTTTTTTTCCCCTAAATAATTGTGTTATTTTTTCATTTGCTTCATTTTCATCTTATCGATTGATAATTCTTCTGTTCCATTTCAGTCTAATTTCCACATGGCCAAACCAATCTAAAAACCTGTTAACTCAGGTCTTTTTTTTTTTTTTTTTTCCCAGAATACCTTTTCCTGGAACCACCTTCTTCTTTTCATTCGAGACCAAATGCTTTCCATGCCTGTGTCAAAGTGGTTGTTCTCTAATCTGTCTTCACTACCATCATAATTTCCTTTTCCTTTTTTCCTTTCTTTATTATGTATCTCCTGTCTTTTAAATTCCATATTTTCCACTTTCATGATTTATTTTCTCATTTTGATGGCTACATCTTTCAGTAACTGAGAAAAGGTTGTGTGAGGGAATATTTTGAGATGCTGTAGTTTTGAAAATATCTTTATTCTGCTGTCTTCTCATTAATAATTTGACTGGATGTCAAGATTTAAGTTGGAAACTATTTTCCATGAGTATTTTGAAGGCATTATCTATTGTCTTCTAGCTTCCAGTGCTGCTTTGTATTAGAGACAGAAGATCAGGAATCAGGATAGCATTGGACTTCTTATTTCTATTTCCCAAAGCTTTTTGGATCTTCTCTTTATTCTTATCTTCTGATATTTTATAATGATATGCTTGATGCATTTACTTTTTCTTTTCTTCTTCCCTCTTGTACATTTCTTTCTTTTTTTAGGTGGGGGCAGGGGGGAAGGAGTCTCACTCTTCTCACCCAGGCTAGAGTGCAGTGGTGCAACCTCAGCTCACTGCAACCTCCACCTCTGGGGTTCAAGCGATTCTCCTGCCTCAGCCTCCCGAGTAGCTGGGATTACAGGCATCTGCCACCACGCCCAGCTAATTTTTGTATTTTTAGTAGAGACGGGGTTTCAGGCTGGTCTTGAACTCCTGACCTCAGGTGATCCGCCCTCCTCAGCCTCCCAAAGTGCTGGGATTAGAGGCATGAGCCACTGCGCCCAGCCCCTCTTGGACCTTTCTAGATATTCATCCTTCAATTCTGAGAAAGGTTCTATAATTCTTTAATTTAAAAAAAGTTTTTTTGTTTCATCTTTCTCACTTTTTTTTTTTTTTTTTTTTTTTAAGACACAGTCTTGCTCTGTCACCCAGGCTGGAGTGCAGTGGTGCGATCTCAGCTCACTGCGCCCTTCGCCTCCTGGGTTCGAGTGATTCTCCTGCCTCAGCCTCCCAAGCAGCTGGGATTACAGGTGCCCACCACCACCATGCCCGGCTAATTGTTGTATTTTTAGTAGAGACGGAGTTTCACCATGTTGGCCAGGCTGGTTTCAAACTCCTGACCTCAGGTGATCCACCTGCTTTGGCCTCCCAGAGTGCTGGGATTACAGGCATGAGCCACCGTGCCCAGCCCTATTCTGATTTCATAGATGCAGTGTCTTTTATGTCTCTGAGAGGTTTTGTCAAGTTTTCTTTTGTTTACTTTATTATCTGTTTCTTCAAGATTCCTCCTCTTTTCTTTTTGCCTTAAGCTTTTTCATATTGGAAGCTTCTCTCAAATGTCTGGTTATTCTGGTTGTCCACTTATATTACGTGGAACAATAAAAAAGTTGATTAGGACTCTGTGCTGTAAGTAAGTAAATTGTTGATAGTGAGAGCCCATTAATCACAGGATGATCAAGCAGCAAGCCTACTGTTTATTTGGGTTTCTCCAAATGGCTATAGCTGTCAGTCTTTTTTTTCTGGGGTTATTTGGCTTCTCTAGAAAAGAATTTTCTAGTCTCTTGTTTGGAGAATACAAGCTTGACTATTGGTGTTCCAGAAAATGGGTGGGAGGAGACGACTTTGTTTTCTGTTAGGTTGAGCCATGTGAAATTACTAGGTTTTGTTTTGTTTTCTGTTTTGTTTTGAGACAGAGTCTCACTCTGTTGCCCAGGCTGGAGTGCCTTAGCATGATCTTGGCTCACTGCAACCTCTGCCTCCCAGGTTCAAGCAATTCTCATGCCTCAGCCTCCCAAGTAGCTGGGATTATAGGCATGCACCACCACGCCTGGCTAATTTTTGTATTTTTAGTAGAGACGGGGTTTTGCCATGTTGACCAGTCTAGTCTCGAACTCCTGACCTCAGGTGATCCACCTGCCTTGGCCTCCCAAAGTGCTGGGATTACAGGTATGAGCCACCACACCTGGGCTGAAATTACTGTTTTTATAGGTCAAAAACAGTTGAGGGATAGGCATGGTGGCTCCCACCTATAATCCCAGCACTTTCAGAGGCCAAGGCAGGAAGATTGCTTGAGTCCAGGAGTTCGACACCAGCCTGGGCAATGTAGTGAAACCCCATCTATATTTAAAAAAAAAAAATAGATGAATATCTTTGTTTGCAGATAACATGATTGCATATGTAGAAAATCCCAAAGAACCAACAAAAAGAGCTCCTAGAACTAATAAGTGATTATGACAAGGTGTAGAATACAAAGTTAATATACAAAGTCAATTGCTTTTTTATCTACCAGCAGTGAACAACTGGAATTTGAAATTAAAACACAATACTGCTGGGTGCAGTGGCTCACACCTGTAATCCCAGCACTTTGGGAGGCCGAGGTGGGCAGATCACCTGATGTCAGGGGTTCAAGACCAGCCTGACCAATATGGTGAAACCCCATCTCTACTAAAAATACAAAAATTAGCTGGGCATGGTGGCGGGTGCCTGTAATCTCAGCTACTCAGGAGGCTGAGGCAGGAGAATCGCTTGAACCCAGGAGGCAGAGGTTGCAGTGAGCCAAGATCGCGCCATTGCACTCCAGCCTGGGGGACAGAGCAAGACTCCGTCTCAAAAAAAAAAACACAATACCTTTCATATTAACACTAATAAAATGAAATATGTGTAGTTCTAACAAAGTTTGTTGTAGAAGATCTATATGAGAAGAATTATAGCACTCATGAAAGAAATCAAAGATCTAAGTAAACTGAGAGATATTCCATGTAAATGGACAGGGAGACTAAATATTATTGAGATGTCAGTTCTTCCCAAGTTCATATATCGATTCAGTGCAGTCCCAGTCAAACCCCAGCCAGTTATTTTGTGGATACTGGCAAACTAAAGTTTATATGAAAAGGCAAAAGACCTAGAACAGCCAACACAGTATTGAAGAAGAAAAAAGTCAGAGGACTGAAACTACCCAATTTCAAGACTTACTGTAAAGCTACATTAATCAAGACAGCATGTCATTGGCAAAAGAATAGACAAATAAATCAGTAGAATTGGACAGAGAGCCTAGAAATCAACCCACACAGATAAAGTCAACTGATCTTTGGCAAAGGGACAAAGACAATTCAGTGGAGAAAAGATAGCCTTTTCAACAAATGGTATAGGACAACTGGACATCCACATGCAAAAAAGTTAATCTAGACACAGACCTGACAACTTTCACAAAAATAAATGGATCATAGACCTAAATGTAACATGCGAACTGAAACTTCTAGAGGATAACATAGGAGAAAATCTAGGATAACATGAGAAAAATTTTTGGTTTGGCAGTGACTTCTTAGGTACAATACCAAAACATGATCCTTGAAAAAAAAAATCAGTATGTTGAACTTTGTTTAAATTATAAACTTCTGCTCTGTGTAAGATGCTGTTAGGAGAATGAAAAGACATGCAGCAGAGTGGGAGACTTTACAAAATTCATTATCTGATGAAGGACCAGTATCCAAAATATACAAAGAACTTTTAAAACTCAACAATAAGAAAATATACAACCCAGTTAATAAATGGGCAAAATATCTGAACAGACACCTCACCAAGGAAGATAGATAGATGACAACAAGCATATGAATATATGCTCAACATCATGTCGTTAGGGAAATTGCGCATTAAAACAACAACAAGATACCCTGCCATCCCTATTAGAATGGCTGAAATCTAAAACACTGACAACACCAAATTCTGGCAGGGATGTGGAGCAGCAGAAACTTTAATTCATTGCTGATGGAAATCTAAAATGGTAGAACCATTTTGGAAGGTAGTTGGACAGTTTTTTACAGAACTAAAGACAGTTTGACAGTTTCTTACAAAACTCTTACCATATGGTCCAGCAGTCTTACTCCTTAGTATTTACCCAAATAAGTTTAAAATGTACATCCAATAAAAAAAACTGCACATGAATATTTCTAGCAGCATTATTCATAGTTGCCAAAACTTGGAAGCAGTCAAGGCATCCATAAGTAGGGGAATGGATAAACAGACTTTGGTATATCATGTAATGGAGTATTATTCAGCAATAAAAAGAAATGATCTATCAAGCCACAAAAATATATGGAGGAACCATAAATGCATATTGCTAAATGAAAGAAGCCAGTCTGAAGAGGCTACACTATAGGATTCTGACTATATGATGTTTTGGAAAAGGCAAAACTATGGAAACAGTAAATAGATCAGTGGTTGCCAAGGGAGACAGGGAGAGATGAATAGGTGGAGCACAGTGGATTTTTAAGGCAGTGAAACTGTTCTTTATGATAATCCAATGGTGGATACATGTCATTATACCTTTGTCAAAACCCACAGAATATAAAACATAAGAGTGAACCCTAATGTAAAATATGGACTTCAGTTAATAATAATATATGAATATTTTTTCATTAGTTCTAACAAGTGTACTACACTAATACAAGATATTCAGAGTAGGGGAAATTGGAAAGGAATGAGAGGTTATATGGGAACTCTGTACTTTCTGCTCAATTTTCTGTAAACCTAAAATCACTAAAAAAAAAGTTTATTTTTATTTTTATTTTTTTTTAATTTTTAATTTTTTGAGATGGAGTTTCACTCTTGTTGCCCAGGCTGGAATACAATGGCACGATCTCGGCTCACTGAAACCTCCGCCTCCAGGGTTCAAGCGATTCTCATGCCTCAACCTCCCGAGTAGCTGAGATTACAGGCATGTGCCACCACGCCCAGCTAATTTTGCAGTTTTAGTAGAGACAGGGTTTCTCCATGTTGGTCAGGCTGGTCTTGAACTCCTGATCTCAGGGGATCTGCCCGCCTCGGCCTCCCAAAGTGCTGTGATTATAGGCGTGAGCCACTGCGCCCAGCAGGTTTTTTTTTTTAAGTTGGATATTAGCCATTTCATATGATTCAACTTAAAAGTACATACACCTTCACTGTTATTAAAGTGTAGGTGAGATGTTTTCAGTCTGGAGCTCTACCCTTGATTCCTGCCATGCCTAGTGTCCCTGAATCTGGAGACTCTGACTTATTTCTTTAGAGAACGAAACTCCTGCCTTCTGCTTTGGTGGTGATTGGTACCTGCTTGACTGCCTTTGGTGGGGAGTTCCTCATACCAACTTTCAATCAGTTCCTGTGTTTGTTTGTTTGTTTGTTTTTGAGACGGAGTTTTGCTCTGTCGCCCGGGTTGGAGTGCAGTGGCGCAATCTTGGCTCAATACACGCTCCGCCTCCCGGGTTCACGCCATTTTCCTGCCTCAGCCTCCTGAGTAGCTGGGACGACAGGCACCCGCCACCACGCCCGGCTAATTTTTTTGTATTTTTAGTAGAGACGGGGTTTCATCGTGTTAGCCAGGATGGTCTCGATCTCCTGACCTCGTGATCCGCCCGCCTTGGCCTCCCAAAGTGCTGGGATTACAGGCGTGAGCCACTGTAAGCCACCGTGCCCGGCCAGTTCCTCTGTTTTTGACTGCCTGCCTTACTACTGCTTTCTGTGGTGCCTGATAACATCCAATTCCTGAACCTTCCTGGGATTTTTGTTCACGTCAGCGTGCTTCTTGCATTTAGGTATCCCTTCACAAGTAGGCATTTAGGTTTTAAGCTCTGCTAAGTGATTTACCACACTTTATCAGTTCTCCATTTTGTGGAATTCATTGTGTTAATCTCCTTTTCTATTTTTGTTTGGAAGATTCATATATTTTTTATTCATTTAGTATTTTTTGGTGGGATTTCTAAGTAGAGAAACATGCCTATGTTCAATATGTCTTGTTTAAGCAGTCTGCTTTCATTTTTACCACCGAGGAGTTGGTTTTATTTCTTTTTTTTTTTTTTTTTTTTTTTTTTTTTGAGACAGGGTCTCACTTTGTCAGCCAGGCTGGAGTACAGTGGCACAATCAAAGCTCACTGCACCCTTGGCCTCCCAAGCTCAAGTGATCCTCCCACCTCAGCCTCCTGAATAGCTGGGAGCTCAGGTGATCCAGCACACCCAGCTAATTTTTTTTTTTTTTAATTTTTTGTAGAAGCAGAGTTCCCCTATGTTGCCCAAGCTGGTCTTGAACTCTTGGGCTCATGTAATCCTCCTGTCTTTGCCCCCTAAAGTCTGGGATTACAGGTGTGAGCCACCACACCCAGCTGTTTTTAATTATTACATTAATTTATGATTATGTGTTTCCTTTAAAGCTATGGGCAGCTCTGTTTGGGAAGATGCTACTGAAAAAAGGATGCTTTTTAGATGGCAAAGAGTACTTAAAATGTCTCTAGAATCATAGTTGTAAACTAAAGTATATATTTTTTAGTTGTTCACAGGGCTTAGAGCTCCTGCCAGAGGGCTGTTACTCTTTGGTCCACCTGGGAATGGGAAGACAATGCTGGTAAGGGTTCTCTTCAAATTTGAGTTTTCTGTTGAGATATTTGGGATAATATGAAAAAAAGAAACTTTATCTTGTCCTTGAGTCTATTATTTACGACTTGCTTTTTGCTATTGTACACTTTTGTTTTTTTTGTTTGTTTGTTTTGTTTTGTTTTGAGTGATCTGGGCTCACCGCAACCTCCGCCTCCTGGGTTCAAGCGATTTTCATGCCTCAGCCTCCCAAGTAGCTGGGATTACAGGCACACGCCACCACACCTGTCTAGGTTTTTTATTTTTGGCAGAGACAGGATTTCGCCATGTTGGCCAGGCTGGTGTCGAACTCCTGACCTCAAGCAGTCCTCCTACCTGGGCCTCCTAAAGTGATGGGATTACAGGCATGAGCCACTGCACCTGGCTGATACACTTTTAAGTTTTTCAGCTACTTTTCAATGTAGAAGTAGATGGAAAACCATGTACGTTATCTTCAGTAGTGTGTTTTTGGTTGGTTAAATTTGACAGTATGATTGTCATTATTTTTTGTAAATTAAATTTTTACCTGGAAGAGCTTACCTTACTATATTGAGTATCTTTCTAACCCCTGATTTTTGCTTCTACTATCATAATAACTTTATTTAAGTAATCAGTATGTTATAGCTTTTTTTTTTTTTTAAGTATTCTTTTGCCAGAAGTTTTTATCAGGCTCTGGATACCTCTTTCCTCTGCATAGTCCTCCTGGATGGAAGAAACAAAGAGGGAAAGAGTAACTTTTCCTTAGATGTTTGTCTTTCTCAAAGCAGTTATCTTTGTATATCTAAGAAGAGAGGAGAATAACACTGTCTCTCTTTTTTTTTAAATCTCTCTCTACTCATTCTCTCTCAGGAGGAGAGTAGAAAGAAGCACAGCTCTTCCTATAACCTGTCCTTATTACTGAGAAAGGAACACATTGATTGCCATGTATTGGGGATTGTATTATACCTTACATTTTTATTTTTATTTTTTATTAATTTTTTTTTTTAGACAGTCTTACTCTATCACCCAAGCTGGAGTGCAGTGATGTGATCTCGGCTCACTACCATCTCTTCCTTCTGGGTTCAAGCAATTCTGCCACGTCAGCTTCCTGAGTAGCTGGGATTACAGGCATGCGCCACCACGCCTGACTAATTTTTGTATTTTTATTAGAGATGGGATTTCACCATGTTGGCCAGGCTGGTCTCAAACTCTTGGCCTCAAGTGATGCGCCTGCCTCGGCCTCCGAAAGTGCTGGGATTACAGGCATGAGCCACCACACCTGGCCTCATAGCTTACATTTTTAGAGAATCTTTTCTAGTACTTAAATCGGTAAATATGGTTATCTTTTAAATGTAATATATTGAACTAATTTAATATTTGCTCTTGTGATTTTTAAAGGCTAAAGCAGTAGCTGCAGAATCGAATGCAACCTTCTTTAATATAAGTGCTGCAAGTTTAACTTCAAAATACGTGAGTGCTCTGTTTCCAATATTGTCGTATTTTAAGTTACTGTCTAAATGTTACTGTGTTAACTGTAAATGGTAATATTTCATGAAAATATTTTTCTAGGAGCTTATCTATTGTATCTATTATTTACATATGATGAATATCTATCTTCAGAGTAGAAAGTTATGTACATTTGTGTTGTCAAATACTGTATTAGTTTACTGGGGCCATGTAATAAAATACCGTAAACTGGCTGGCTTAAACATCAGCAATTTATTGTCTCACAGTTGTGGAAGGTAGAAGTCTAAGATCAGTCAAAATGTTGGCAGGGTTGCTTCCTCCTGAGGGCTGTGAGGGAAAATGTATGTTGTGTGCCTCTCTCCTGGCTTCTGGTGGCTTGCTGGCAATCTTTTGTATTCCTTGGCTTGTAGATGCATCCCTCCTATCTCTGTCTTTATCTTTATGTGGCATTCTCCCTGTGTCTGTCACCATGTCCAAATTTCCCCTGTGGATTAGGACCCACCCTAATGATCTCAATTTAAGTTTGTCATCAGCAACAATTCTATGTCCAAATAATGTCACATTCATAGGTACTAGGGATAGGACTTCAACACGTTTTTGGAGAACACAGTTCAACCCATTAACAAATACTATCACTTTCCACTTAAGCTTCAAGTAAAGTGGATTTTATCTCAAGGAGCCACCAGATAGGAACACAGATCTGATGGCATAAACTGAGTATTTCTGGCCTTCTGATTCTGATCTAAAATATGACAGAAGATTTTCCCTGTTTTAATTTTTTTTTTTTTTTTATAATAGAGACACAGTCTCGCTATGTTGCCAGGCTACTTTCAAATTCCTGGGCTTAAGCAATCCTCCTGCCTCGGACTCTCAAAGTGCTGGAATTACAAGTGTGAGCCACCACACCTGGCCAGTAGATTTTCCCTGCTTTCTTTTGATTGTTTATAATTTTGTTTTCTTTTTCCATTCACCCTCTGCTGACCCTATAGTATTATTCAAAGAAGTGTTCAGTCTAGTTTTGGGGTAGGGCAAGCATAACTACAGTGCTTAAAGAGAGTAATTTGTCTGGTGTGCAGAACTAGTGTGTAAATATAACTGGTGCATTGCAAAACTGTGAAGTAGTTTCTGTCAAACCTTACACTGCTTTGTCTTTCTCCCTCTCTCCCTTTCTCTTGGTTGCCCCCTCCCCCTCCCAATGATACCTTAGTCTCTGCTTGCCTTTATCAAAACCTTTATGATTGGCCGGGCACAGTGGCCCATGCCTATAATCCTAGCATTTTGGGAGGCTGAGGCAGGAAGATCACCTGAGCCCAGAAGTTGGAGACCAGCCTAGGCAACATGGTGAAACCCCATCTCTTCCAAAAATAAAAAATAGAGCCAGGTGTGGTGGCATGCACCTGTAGTCCCAGCTACTCAGGAAGCTGAGGCGAGAGGATCTCTTGAGCCTGAGAGGTTGAGGCTGCAGTGAACTGTGATCATGCCACTGCACTCCAGCCTGAGTGACAGTGTGAGACCCTGTCTCAAAGAAACAAAACAAGGGGGGGCATGGTGGCTAACTCCTGTAATCCCAGTACTTTGGGAGACTGAGGCAGGAGGATTGCTTGAGGCCAGGAGTTCAATACCACCCTGGGCAACATAGTGAGACCCCCATCTCTACAAAAAATAAAAAATTTAGCTGGACATGCCAGCGAATACGTGGTCCCAGCAAATCAGGAGGCTGAGGTGGGAGGATCACTTGAGTCAAGGAGGTTGAGGTTGCAGTGAGCCACGATCATGCCAATGCATTCCAACCTGGGCGTCAGAGCAAGACCACGTCTCAAAAACAAAACAAAACAAACTTTTATGGTTGAAAGTGTTTTGGCAAACATACTTAAACTGAAATGTGAATCTCTGATGAAAGAACATGTTACCTGTAAAAGTTTGAAGTGTCAGCATTTGTTGCACCGAAATCCAGAGGTGAGGCCAGGTGTGGTGGCTCACGCCTGTAATCCCAGCACTTTGGGAAGCCAAGGCTGGCAGATCACCTGAGGTCAGGAGTTCAAAACCAGCCTGGCCAACATTGCAAAACCCCGTCTCGACTAAAAATACAAAAATTAGCCAGACTTGGTGGTGTGCGCCTGTAATCCCAGCTATTCGGGAGGCTGAGACACGAGAATTGCTCGAACCCAGGAGGCAGAGGTTGCAGTGAGCCGAGATGGCACCACTGCACTCCAGCCTGGGCAACTGAGTGAGACTCTGTCTCAAAAAAAAAAAAAAAAAAAAATCCAGAGGTGAATCCAGAGGTGATCACCACATGATATCCAGATAGCCTCTTTCCATGAGAGGCTCAAAGGATAATTTTACTGTCTACAGTTTTGCAGCGAGAGAAACTTGATTTTATCAGTACACCAAGAGCAGATCTATGTCTTCGGAACAGACATGAGATCAGAATTGTCTAGCTGCTATGAACAGCATGTTCTCTCCCTGTACCTATAGACATGTATGGGAAACTTATTTGTAAGGTTGTATAATGAGCAGTGAGTTAAAGCAAACTTGACATGTTGACCATAGTTGTTATGGCATTGGACTAAAGTAGCCTCCATCACTATGATAGAGATAGCCTTGGTGTTGGACCCATAGTTTTTGAAGTCTGTTTGCTAAGACTCCCTCTTCCTTAGGCAGTTCTTCAAATATTATTATGCTTTTTCCTGTCATGGGATTCCTCTTCATGGAGTTTCCTTTCTCAGGAACACTATCTTCTCCTGGTTAATTTGTACTTATTCTTCAGATACCAGTTGAAATGTTACAACCTTCCCTGACCCTCCAAACTATTCCCCGTTATTATTCTCCTAGCACCACTTGCACCTCATTTTCATACTCACTGGAGTTGCAATTCATATTCATTGATAGGATTATTTTAATTGTATCTGATATCACTGTCACCTCCACTAGAAGATGGTCTCCATGCGGGCAGAGACTATCACCATGTGTTCTTCACTTCAATTTTCAGTAGTTGGCTGTGAGTAGGTATTGAATAAATATTTGTGGAGTAATCATAATGAGGTATAGATATTATTCTCATAGCTCTATTTTATTAATTAGGGAATTACAGAATTCAGTGATCTGCTCAGGATCTCATAACCAGGAAGTGGGAAACTAGGATTTGAGCTCCAGTGAGTGTGGCCTTTCATTAAAAATATTACAGCAACCATTCTCTTTTTTTTTTTTTTTTTTTTTGAGATGGAGTCTTGCTCTGGAGTGCAGTGGCGTGATCTCGGCTCACTGCAGCCTCTGCCTCCCGGGTTCAAGTGATCCCCCTGCCTTAGCCTGCTGAGTAGCTGGGACTACAGGCACCCGCCACGACACTTGGCTAATTTTTGTATTTTAGTAGAGACGGGGTTTCACCATGTTGGCCAGGATGGTCTCGATCTCCTGACCTTGTGATCCGCCCGCATCTACCTCCCAAAGTGCTGGATTATAGGCGTAAGCCACCACACCCGGCCTACAGCAACCATTCTCTTTTATCCATACTTTTTTCAAGAGTACTGTTTCATCTTCATGTTTTCAGAAACAACATAGCATTCATGATCTTAACCCCCAATTCTGATACTGCCTGAATATCTTGAAGTAAGTTTACTTTTAAGAAAGTTGAGGCTAGGTGTGGTGGCTCATGCCTGTAATCCCAGCACTTTGGGAGGCCAAGGCAGGTGGATCACTTGAGCTCAGGAGTTCAAGACCAGGCTGGGCAACATGGCGAAACCCTGTCTCTACCAGAAATACAAAAAATTAGTCGGGCGTGGTGGCGTGTGCCTGTGGTCCCAGCCACTTGGGAGACTGAAGTGGGAGGATTTCTTGAGCTTGGGAGGTGGAGTTTGCTGTGAGCCGAGAGATCATGCCACTGTACTCCAGCCTGGGTGGCAGAGTGAGATCCCATCTCAAAAAAAGAAAAGAAAAAGAAAATTGAAATGTCTAGTCTATCATTTTGTCAGTTCTATCTAATACAATTTTTTCCTTATGTCTAACTGAAATCTGCTTTTTCTAATTTTTACATACTTGATTTAACAAAACTCAATCTTTTTTTTTTTTTATGAGACAGCCTTTCAAATATATAGGAACTTAATGTTATATCTGCTTCCCTCCAGTCCCCAGAATAGTTACTATTTTAGTTGTCTTTCTATGGTCTCATGCCAGTTTGTCAGTATGCCTAGATAAGAACTGAATATTTTACCTCAGATGTGACCTGACTTTGAAGACTTAAAAAGGAAGCATTGTGCCAGGCGCAGTGGCTCACACCTGTGATCCCAGCACTTTGGGAGGCCGAGGTGGGCAGGTCAGGAGTTTGAGACCAGCCTGATTAACATGGAGAAACCCCATGTTTCTCTACTAAATACAAATCTCTACTAAATACTAAATACTAAATCTCTACTAAAAATACAAAAGATGAGCTGGGCATTGTGGCACATGCCTGTAATCCCAGCTACTCGGGAGGCTGAGGCAGGAGAATCACTTGAGCCCAGGAGGCGGAGGTTGCGGTGAGCCGAGATTGCGCCATTCCACTCCAGCCTGGGCAACAAAAGTGAAACTCCATCTCAAAAAAAAAAAGCAGCAGCATTGTGTAATATTATGTAGATGTTGTGTCTCATGATCTATCCTGAGAAAGCTTTTGGGAGGAACTGCATCATAGTCATGGACAACATTTGTGTTATTAAAATATCTAGATTATTTTCCACAAAAAATCAGTTACATATGTATCTTAACATGTTGTATTATTGTTTAACCTTGTTTATTGAATAACTAACATGTAGAAAAGTATTTATAGCATAAGTATACAGCTGTATACAGCTCAGTGGATTACCACAAAGCGAATATACTTTCATAATCACCACCCAGGTCAAGAAATAAATTGTTACCTGTGGCCCTAAAATCCCTCCAGGCACTCCACCATCTTTATCCACTCACTCCTCTCCCTCAAAACCACTAGACTACTAACATCATAGACAAAGCTAGCATGCCTTTGAACTTTATATAAATCTAATGATGTAGGATTTTGTGTGTATGTGTATTTGGCTTCTTTCATCAGCATTGTATTTGTGAGATTTATCCAGATTGTTGCAAGTAGTTGTAGTTGTGCTTTTTTACACAGATTTAATTTTTATATTTTTCTTATATGTTCGAACAGTTAACCTGCTTATCTATTATTAAAAAAAAAAAAACGAACATTCACATAGTTCTTACCAGTTTACAGTGTTTTTTCCACACCGTCTTCAAAATGTAAAGTTTGGTCTTCAATACATCAGTATGCTGCTAGATTTAAATACTAGGGAAAAAAAAATCAGAGAAGTTAATAATATTAACTGTCACCTCCACTAGAAGATGGTCTCCATGTGGACAGTAATATTTCTCTTGTATTATCTGTGCTAAGTAAAATCTTCTGTAAGTTTCTTTAAATATTTTAATAAATCATAGTACTTAAAATGTTCTCAATATTCTAAAGTAGTTAAAAGTAACTATAAAATAGTACCTGTTTTTCTGATCACATTTTACTTCCTATGTGAAATTTTACAAGTCGTTACTCTATTTATTTATTGATTTATTTTTTAAGACAGGGTCTGTTCTGTCGCCCAGGCTGGAGTACAGTGGCGTGATCATGGCTCACTGCAGCCTCAGCCTCCTGGGCTCAAGTGATCCTCCCACCTTAGCATCCCAAGTAGCTGGGACTATAGGCACATGCCACCATGCCCAGCTAATTTTAAAAAATTCTGGGGGGCCGAATGCGGTGGCTCACACCTGTAATCCCAGCACTTTGGGAGGCCGAGGCAGGCGAATCACAAGGTCAGGAGTTCGAGACCAGCCTGGCTAACATGGTGAAACCCTGTCTCTACTAAAAATACAAAAAATTAGCGGGGTGTGGTGGCAGGCGCCTGTAATCCCACTTACTCAGGAGGCTGAGGCAGGAGAGTTGCTTGAACCTGGGAGGCAGAGATTGCAGTGAGCCGAGACTCCATCTCAAAAAAAAAAAATTTTTTTTTGTAGTGACAAGGTGTCACTGTGTTGCCAGGGCTGGTCTCAAACTTCTGGGCTCAAGTGATCCTCCCATTTCGGCCTCCCAAAGTGCTAGGATCACAGGCATGAGTCACTGTGCCTGGTCTTCAAGTTGTTATTAAAGCATGTTTACCCACATTATGCACATGGTATAATGGAAAGTATTGTTGTGGAAGTTAGGAGATAGGGATTCTAGCCTAGCTTTTTATTTTTTTGGGACAAGGTCTCACTTTTTCGCCCCAGGCCGAAGTGCAGTTGTGCGATCTCGGCTCACTGCAACCTCCAACTCTCAGGTTCAAGCAATTCTCCCACGTCAGCCTCCCGAGTAGCTGGGATTACAGGCATGCGCCACCACGCCCGGCTAATTTTTGTAGTTTTAGTAGACACAGGGTTTCACCATGTTGGCCAGGCTGGTCTTGAACTCCCGACCTCAGGTGATCCACCCACCTTGGCCTCCCAAAGTGCTGGGATTACAGGCATGAGCCACCGCACCCGGCCTCTAGCGTAACTTTTACATCCTGAACTGACCTTAAGAAAGTATAACTTTAGGCCTGTTTCATCTGTAAAATGTTAATGTCATAGGAGATGATCTTTTGAGATTTCTTTCAGCTCTGATAATTTTGTGTGTGTGTGTGTGTGTGTGTGTGTGTGAGATGGAGTCTTGCTCTGTCGCCCGGGCTGGAGTGCAGTGGTACCATCTCGGCTCACTGCAAGCTCCACCTCCTGGGTTCACGCCATTCTCCTGCCTCAGCCTCCCGAGTAGCTGGGACTACAGGCGCCTGCCACCACGCCTGGCTAATTTTTTGTATTTTTAGTAGAGACGAGGTTTCACCGTGTTAGCCAGGATGGTCTCGATCTCCTGACCTCGTGATCCGCCCGCCTCAGCCTCCCAAAGTGCTGGGATTACAGGTCTGAGCCGCCGCGCCCGGCCTAGAATATTTGTTTCGATTATTCTAAATCTGGTGACATTTCTTTTGTTTTTAAGTTAAATCTTCAGTAAAAAGAATAAATGCCACCTAGAGGACAGAAAAATTTTTACAGTAGATTATCACAGACCTCATGACTCATTACTTTGGTGTATAAAATGGCCTTTGTATGGTGTCAGCACCTGGGAATGTCTCAAGGGGTGTTCATTGACCTTCTGGACTATCTGGAAATATTTTGATATTTATTGGCTGGGCGCGGTGGCTCATGCCTGTAATTCCAGCACCTCGGGAGGCCAAGTTAGGTGGATCACTTGAGGTCAGGAGTTTGAGATCAGCCTGGCCAACTAAGTTAGTTGACTATTTGTGAAATTTCCCTCTCCAAATAGGAAAGATAGGATTGGAAACATTATTCAGAAGGAAGAAGTTTTAAAGAAGGGCAGGCTTAAAGACTATCTAATGAATTTACCAATATGGTAAAACCCCATCTTTACTAAAAATACAAAAATTAGCCAGGCGTGGTGGTGGGCGCCTGTAATCCCAGCTACCTGGGATGTTGAGGGATGAGAATCACTTGAACCCAGGAGGCAAAAGTCACAGTGAGCCGAGATTGCACCACTGCACTCCAGACTGGGCTATAGAGCAAAACTCTGTCTCAAAAAAAAAAAGGAAAAAAAAAAAAGAAATTTTGATATTTATGTGAGAATGACTTTTCACGGTGTTCTTAATAGCGCAAGTTTTGTTTAGGAGAGCACATTCCAACTTACTTGCTTCTATAAATATACCGTGTAATCTAGGGCTTAAAGAATATGTACAATGTCTTTTTCTCTCCCCTAGTCTTCCCCTTTTCTCACTAGTTATATCCTTGACTGAAGAGCTATTTCATTCTCAAGTCTTAGGAATGCAGGGTGAAGCAAAACAGATGAATTTTTAAAGCACTTAACCAGGCTGTATGAAATCACAGTCTGTTGTCTAAAATTGTAAGGGACGGTTAGTAGTACTCTCCCCTTTCTCAAACCAAATCTTTGGTTGTTTTAAGGAAGGGAAATTAAATTCCTGTGTGCTAGATTTTCAACATAAAATTTAAAAAACTGGAATAATGTTGCATTTTATGTGTATAACAGTATAATGCTTTGTTTTAGGTGGGAGAAGGAGAGAAATTGGTGAGGGCTCTTTTTGCTGTGGCTCGAGAACTTCAACCTTCTATAATTTTTATAGGTAAGAACATATTTTCCAACTAAGTTATTGACTATTTGTGAAATTTCCCTCTCCAAATAGGAAAGATACGATTGGAAACATTATTCAGAAGGAAGAAGTTTTAAAGAAGGGCAAGCTTAAAGACTATCTAATGAATTTAGTAGGACCCACTATATTAATAAGTAGTAAACTAGATTAATCTCAGATGACTCACATAGCTTGGTCTTTAATTAAAGTCTTATACTTGTATTTCCTCTAGATGAAGTTGATAGCCTTTTGTGTGAAAGAAGAGAAGGGGAGCACGATGCTAGTAGACGCCTAAAAACTGAATTTCTAATAGAATTTGATGGTGTAAGTGTTGATTATGATATTTTTAATGTGGCAGCATTTTAGTATATTTTCCTATTAAATGGCCAAGGTTAAAAATACAAATATCTTTATATTTGTTATTACTTTTCTAAATGAATTGAAAAAAGATTTTTTGCTTGTAGGTACAGTCTGCTGGAGATGACAGAGTACTTGTAATGGGTGCAACTAATAGGCCACAAGAGCTTGATGAGGCTGTTCTCAGGTAGGGAGATTTATATGGAAATACATGCATTTATTACAGACAATATTTACTCATGTGTCCATCTTACATATTATTTCCTTACTCTCAGTTTTAAGACTAAATTCACTATTTTCTTCCAGTACTATCTCTAGCCTCTTGTTACCAACTACATAAGGATTTTGAGGTCAACAGCTTGATATCAGGAGAATTAGTCTAGTAAAGGTTTAGTTACGGTTTTAGGCAAATTGGTCAGTTCTTCTGGGTTGCATTAAATTATCTTTAAACTTGAAAATTGATTCTTACCGTCTTTTATTGGGCTTCATGAGAAAATAATCAAATCAGGGTTCATGGAAAATGTGTTTTCTGTTCTTGTGTGTTTGAGCAGTTTATTCCCTTCATACTGGAAGGACGGTTTGGGTCAGCATAAAATTCTTGGGCATCCTTTCCCAAGGAATTTACAATATTGCTCCATTGTTTCTAGATTGGCTGTAGTAGTGTAAAAGTCTGAATCCAAATTGATTTTTTCAAATTTGTAAAATAACTTGATTTTTTTCTCTCTTTACTGGATGGGTTACGTGGGTATATTGCACCCAGGTAGTGAGCATAGGGTGCAGTAGGTAGTTTTTCAACCCACACCTCACTGCTTTCTTCCCCCATGTAGTAGTCCGCAGTGTGTATTGTTCCCATGTTTATGTCCATGTGTACTCAATTTTTAGCTCCCCACTTATGAGAACATGAGCTATTTGGTTTACTGTTCCCACATTAATTGGCGTAGTATTAAGGCCTCCACCTCCATCCATGTTGCTGCAAAGGACATTATTTCATTCTTTTTTATGGCTGCGTAGTACATAGTATTCCATGGTGTGTACGTACCACATTTTCTTTATCCAGTCCACCATTGATGGACACTTAGATTGATTCTATGTCTGCTGTCATGAATAGTACAGCAATAAACATGAAATGCATGTCTTTTTGGTATAATGATCTATTTTCCTTTGGGTATATACCCAGTAATGGGATTTCAGGGTCAAAGGTAGATTTGTTTTATGTTTTTTGAGAAATCTTCAAACTGCTTTCTACAATGACTGAACTTTACATTCCTACCAGCAGTACATACGCTCCACAACCTCACCAACATCTGTTATTTTTTTACTTTTTCCCGCCAATCTGTAGACAATATGGGATTTTTTTTGCCATTTTATTAATAGCCATTCTGACTGGTGTGAGATATCTCATTGTGATTTTGATTTGCATTTTTCTGATGGTTAGTGATGATGAGCATTTTTTCATGTTTGTTGTCCCCTCGTATGTCTTTTGAGAAGTGTCTATTCATTTCCTTTTTACCCATTTTTTAATAGGGTTGTGTGTTTTTAGCTTGTTCAATTGTTTGAATTCCTTATAGATTCTGGATATCAGACCATTGTTAGATGCAGTTCTGTAGATTGTCTGTTTACTCTGTTGATGGTTCTTTTTGCTGTGCAGAAGCTCTTTAGTTTAATTAGGTCCCACTTGTCAATTTTTATTTTTGTTGCAATTGTGTTTGGGGACTTAGCCAAAATTTCTTTCTGAGGCTGATGTCAAGAAGTGTATTTCCTAGTTTTCTTCTAGCATTTTTATACTTTGAGATCTTACATTTAAATCTTTAATCCACCTTGAGTTAATTTTTGTATATGGTGAAAAGTAAGGGTCCAGTTTCATTTTTCTACATATGGCTAGCCAGTAATCCCCATGCCATTTATTGAATAGGGAGTCCTTTTCCTCATTGCTTGTTTTTGTCAGTCTTATCAAAGATCAGATGGTTATAGGTGTGTGGCTTTATTTCTCAATTTTCTGTCCTGTTCCTTTGGTTTGTGTGTCTGTTTTTATACCAGAATTATGCTGTTTGGGCTGCTGTGTAGTTCGGTTTAAAGTCAGGTAACGTGATACTTACAGCTTTGTTCTTTTTGCTTAGGATTGCTTTGTCTATTTGGACTCTTTTTTTGCTTCCATATGAATTTTAGAATATTTTTTTCTAATTTTGTGAAAAACAACATTGATAGTTTGATAGAAATACCATTGAATCTGTAAATTGCTTTGGGCAGTATAGTCATTTTACGACCAGATAAATCAGGCAAGAGAAGGAAACAAAAGGCATCCAAATAGGAAAAGAAGTCATCATACTCTCACTCTTCACTGGCAATATGATTCTATACTTTGAAAACCCTAAAAATTCCGTCAAAAGGCTACTAGAACTGATAAATGATTTTACCCCAAGATTCAGGATACAAAATCAGTGTACAAAAAATTAGTACCATTTCTATACGCTAATAATGTCCAGGCTAAGAGTCAAATCAAGAACACAGTCCCATTTACAATAGCCACAAAGAAAATGAAATAATGGCTGGGCACAGTGGCTCATGCCTGTAATCCCAGCACTTTGGGAGGCTGAGGCAGGTGGATCACCTGAGGTCAGGAGTTCGAGACCAGCCTGACCAACATGGTGAAACCCCGTCTCTACTAAAAATACAAAAAATTAGCCAGGCGTGGTGGTGGGCGCCTGTAATCCCATCTGCTCGGGAGGCTGAGGCAGGAGAATTGCTTGAACCCAGGAGGCATAGGTTGCAGTGAGCCGAGATCGTGCCACTGCACTGCAGCCTGGGTGTGAAAGAGCAAGAATCCGTTTCCAAAATTAAAAAAAAAAAAAGAAAAAAAAAAAGACAATGGAGTACCTAGGAATACGGCTGATGAAGGAGGTGAAAGAATCTGTATGAGGAGAAGTGTAAAGCACTGCTAAAATAAATCAGAGGTGACACAAATAAATGGAAAAACACTCCATGCTCATGGATTGGAAGAATCAATATCGTTAAAATGGGAAATTTATCTTAATTTTTTTCCCTAGTTCATTTTTCTGTTTTCTTTTGCACATAAATTATGTGTTATGTTGCGTCCTTTTGTTTTCCCTATCTGTAATTTTCTTCTTCATCCTTTTAAACTCTTAGGTCTTTTTGTTTTGTTCTGTTTTCCCAAGCCTGTTGCCTTTATTTCTTACTGGGTTAGTATCTAATCTCCTTTCTGCTATATCTTTTGTAACTCTTCTTTCCTTGGTGGTTTTTTATTCATTACTTTCCTGACATCTGTTATTCTACTTTTCATCTTCTGTTTTATTTCTTTGAGCATCTGTATGTTATTTCCATAAGCTCTTACATTTCACTGGGCTCTTGTTTCATAGAAAACAATTTTTTGGCAAGGACAGACCACTTGAGGCCAGGAGTTTGAGACCAGCCTGGCCAACATAGTACAACCCTGTCTCTGCTAAAAATACAAAAAATTAGCTGGGTGTGGTCACACACACCTGTAATCCCAGCTACTCAGGAGGCTGATAATCGCTTGAACCCAGGAGGCAGAGGTTGCAGTGAGCCAAGACGGCGGCACTGTACTCTAGCCTGGGGGACAGAGCAAGGCTCTGTCTCAAAAAAAAAAAGAAAAAATTTTTTGGTCAGGCGTCATGGTGGGTCACACCTGTAATCCCAGCACTTTGGGAGGCCAGATCACTTGAGGCCGGGAATTCCAGACCAGCCTCGCCAACGTGGCAAAACCCCATATCTATAAAAAAAACTTAAGGATAAAAAAAATTAAATTTTTAAAAAATTAAATTATTTTATTTCGTGGAAAGATACTTGGTCATAATTTTAGTTTGCTCTATGGCAAAATCTTCTCATGCATGTTCTTCATTTTATCTAGTTTATGTTTATTGTGTTTTGTTTGCTCTTTTTTGGGGGCAGGTTTTGTTGTTGTTGTTTTTTTTTTTTTTTTTTTAAATGAGCCCTGTCCTGGTTTTTCCTTTTTTGCTTATTATTTTTCTTTGAATAAAAGGAGTTTTCTTGGAAAACCTAGTTTTGGAAGGATATTGTAGGGGAAGGGATAGGTATCTTGAGTAGTCCATGTATACACTAAACTAGCATGCAGCCTCCCTCACTTACAGTGAAGCCCTACCTAATAATGAAGTATATGTGTATGTAAATAAGAGATAGGGTTGATTTATTCTTCTACTAAAAAATATTGGTCACTGCAAGACATTGTCTTCCCGCCAGACTGTTAGATGCCTTCTTATAAAGATAATTCGTCTTAGAGTTTCTTTGTTCATTCTCACCTTCCTTGCCATTCCTATGCTATCAATTAGGGTTTATATGGTCTGCAGAGCCAGGCTTCATATGCTTGTTTAAATGTGGAGGGACTGGCCTTATTACCCTTTAGGGTGTGCTATCTCTTTTTGGGAGGAAAACTGTACTCTGACAGTCATGTCCATGATCTTTAGCGGCAGATCCTTTGTGTGTCTTCCTTTGTCAGTGTAATTTTCACTGCCCTAGGCAGTTCACCTTTATGTATTTTAGTTCCATAAATGTTACCTAGTTTGTTGATGAAGTGTATGTTTCTGTTTCTATTATCCTTGCTGATTTTAGTTTTTTTCAGATTCAAGAAGACAGATCTACTTATATCAGATATTTTGTTTGTTTTAAAGCATTACTGCTATTAAAAACATATACATACATAAATGATTAATTCTAACAATACCGAATTAAGGATTTTAAACATTAACTAGAGTTTTAAAAGAGTAACAAAAATATTTTTACATTGATAACTACCAAAATGCATTCCAGTGCCTTGAATATTATATTTTAAAAGCTTTTCCTGTCATTTGCTGTTTCAGCTTTAAATTCAAAATTATATTTCTAAAAGTGCTGGATTTTTTTTTTTAGGCGTTTCATCAAACGGGTATATGTGTCTTTACCAAATGAGGAGGTATGTATCTGTGTTTGAATTTTTTTTGTTTTAGAGCAGAAACAAGAACTACCATCTTGACAATATTAAGTCTTCCAATCCATGGTACAGCTACTTTGGAAAACAGTTTAGTGGTTTCTTAAAAAGATGTACATAAGCTTACTGTCAGAGCCAGCAATTTCACTCCTAAGAATTTACCCCAGAGAAACAAAAATGTATGTCCACACAAAGACTTGTACAAGAATTTTTATAGCAGCAATATTAATAATAGCCAGAACTACAAATGATCTAAAATGTTTATTTTGGTGAATAAACAAATGTGGTATATTCATTTAATGGATACTGTTATCCATTATACATGCTGCATACTCACTTCATATATTAAGTTTTATGAATGAAACTCCAAAACATTATAAGTGAAAGAAGCAAGATGATATATGTCGCATATCATAGGATTCTGTTTATATGCAGAAAACGCAAATTTATTTTTTATTTATTTATTTTTTTGAGATGGAGTCTTGCTCTGTCGCTCAGGCTGGAGTGCAGTGGCGTGATCTCGGCTCACTGCAACCTTCACCTCCTGGGTTCAAGTGATTCTCCTGCCTCAGCCTCCTGAGTAGCTGGGACTGCAGGCATGTGCCACCAGGCCTGGCTAATTTTTTGTGTTTTTAGTAGAGACGGGTTTCACTGTGTTAGCCAGGATGGTGTGATCCGCCCTCCTCAGCCTCCCAAAGTGCTGGGATTACAGGCATGAGTCACCGTGCCCGGCCAGAAATCGAAAATTTCTAGAAACGTAAAGCAGATCAGTGGGTTGTCAGGGTGAGAGTTGGGAATGAGGATTAACTGCAAACAGGTATGAGTGAACTAAAAAGTGTTCTAAAACTGGATTGTGG
The DNA here is from genome assembly GCF_000001405.40 of Homo sapiens. Taxonomy (NCBI): domain Eukaryota; kingdom Metazoa; phylum Chordata; class Mammalia; order Primates; family Hominidae; genus Homo; species Homo sapiens. The sequence continues at coordinate 32,142,819 of NC_000002.12, forward strand.
TGATGATTGCACATCTATAAATGTATTAAAACTCATTGAATTATATACTTACAATGGGTGAAATTCATAGTAGATGAATTCATACCTCTATAAAACTGGTTTTTTGCAGCAAAATATTTATTGCTATGTTTTTATTCAAGTGTGGTGAATTATTGCTATGTTTTTATCCAGGTGTGGTGTCTCACGCCTATAATCCCAACACTTTGGGAGGCTGAGGTGGGAGGATCGCTTGAGCCAGGAATTCAAGACCAGCCTGGGCAACATAGGGAGACCCTGTCTCTACAAAAACTTTTTTAGAAATTAACCAGGCATGGTGGCACGTGCCTTTGGTCCCAGTTACTCGGGAGGCTGAGATGGGAGGATTGCTTGAACCCAGGATATCGAGGCTATAGTGAGCTATGATTGTGCCCTGCACTCCAGCCTGGGTAACAGCACAAGACCCTGTCTCAATATAAAAAAAGAAAAGAATCATTAATTCTGAAATTAGACTGAATGATCATTTTTTAATATTTTTCAGACAAGACTACTTTTGCTTAAAAATCTGTTATGTAAACAAGGAAGTCCATTGACCCAAAAAGAACTAGCACAACTTGCTAGGTGAGTAATTTGGATTTGGTTTATCTTACAGCTTTTATTTATTTTTTGTAAATAATTCTTTTTTTAGTTATTTAAAGTAATCTTAAGTATGAAATGAGTAATTCATTGATCAGAAGACTTTCTCTCATCCTCTACCTCCTTTGCCTTTTTCTTACCTCTTGTTCTTATATATATATGTGGAATCTAAATTTCACTGGCTATGTCCTTTGCAAGACGTGATCTAATGATGATAGTATATTCTTTTTATAAATTTATTAAAACCTGTAAGTGGTATTAAAGTAATTTAAACATTTACACCTTAGGCAACATGGTAAAACCCCATCTCTACAAAAAATAAAATGAGTCAGGAATGGTGGCACATACCTGTAGTCCCAGCTACTTGGGAGGTTGATGTGGGAGGATCGCTTCAGCCCGGGAGGTGGAGGTTGAGCAACAGAGTGAGACCCTGTCTCAAAAAAAATTTTAAACATTTCATATTGCACACTAACACAGATATTTTTATATAAACTTGTTCTTGGCATATGCTGAATACTTTTCAGCTCTTTTAATAATTTTAATTATTTGATAATTTTAATAATTTTAATTTCAGCTATTTGAATAATCTTAAACTTTATGAACAGTGTGAAGTAGAAACTGAGTATAGGAGATGCGCTCATGAATTTTATTCCCTGAAAAATGTCATAAAGTAATATAAAGTATTCAATGAGTATGTGAGTATTGAATAATTTTAACAAGAACTCTGAGTTCCCAGATACCTATGACAAAAGAACAAATTACTTGGAAGTCTCTTCTACTCCAGACCTTTCTGTCTATCCCCTTATTTAAAAAAATGTACATTGATTGTCCCTTATCCCATCAAGAGAGTGTTCTTTGCCAAGATAAACGCTAATTAGAGAAGTAATTGTGTTTATGTGTCAGTTGGCCACCAGTAGTTTGTAGATGTTACCTTTCCAGGTGACATGTTTACAATTTAATGAAGCCTCTGGAGATAGTATGCCTTAATCTAAAGGAATGGTTCTAATGATTAAAATTTGAGGCATTACTACATTTGTTTTCAGCAAATGGGCCTTTCTATTCCCTTAAAATCAAACCCTCATAACTATGGGTTTGCTGACAAAGGGAAACTAGTTTTTACTCTTATTATATGGAGATTTTAAATCTGCAGAGATGAAAATAATTTGCTGTTTCAGCTGGGTGCGGTGGCTCATGCCTGTAATCTCACTACTTTGGGAGGCTGTGGCGGGTGGATCACCTGAGGTCAGGAGTTCGAGACCAGCCTGACCAACATGGCGAAACGCCATCTATACTAAATACAAAAAAAAAATTAGCCAGGTGCGGTGGCGCATGCCTATAATCCCAGCTACCTGAGAGGCTGAGGTAGGAGAATCGCTCCAGGAGGTGGAGATCACAGTGAGCTGAGATCATGCCATTGCACTCCAGCCTGGGCAACAAGAGCAAAACTCCATCTCAAAAAAAAGCGGGAGGGGAAATAATTTGCTGTTTCTTCCTTCCCTTCCTCAGAATGACTGATGGATACTCAGGAAGTGACCTAACAGCTTTGGCAAAAGATGCAGCACTGGGTCCTATCCGAGGTAGGTATACAAGAGCTTAAAACATTTAGAACTATTTATTATACCACCTTAGAAGTTTAAGAAGTCCAAAAAAATCTACCAAGAGATTTTTTTTTTCTTTTGGAGACAGGGTCTCACTCTGTTGCCCAGGCTGTAGTGCAGTGGCACAATCATAGTTCACTGCAGCCTCGAACCCCCCAGGCTCAGGTGATTCTCCCACCCAGCCTTCCCAGTAGCTGGGACTACAGGCATGCACCATCATGCCCAGATAATTATTTTATTTTATTTCTTGTAGAGACAGGGTTTCACCATGTTGCCCAAGCTGGTCTTGAACTCCCGGGCTCAAGTGAGCAGCCTGCCTTGGCCTCCCAAAGTGCTGGGATTACAGGCATGAGCCACCATGCCCAGCCTTAAAACCATTCTTAGCTCACAGATCATACAAAAACAGTCTATGAGCCAGTAGACTGTGACCCCTGTTCTAGGCAAGAGGTTTCATTTCTTGATAGTAAGTAAGCAGCAGAAAACTCAAAAAGAAAACTTTAAACAAAAAAGAATAATGTAAGGAAAATGTTCTTATCTGTTTTCTGGCTCTTTTCAGTATTCTGACATCATTTGAAATTAATGTGTCTAAAGGAAATTCTATAAGAGAAGTTTTCACTTTTTTAATTATATCTTTTGAGGGATTGCAGCAAAATATTTATTGCTATGTTTTTATTCAGGTTACTTGGTTGATTCTGAAATACCACGACCAATTCTTTTTAGGTTAGGTTAGGATAAACTCACACAGATATTTTCAGCTACATTTCCACAGCCAGCATCGGTAGTGGATGGTTGATGCTCTCAGGTATGCACTCAGATTATTAGCTATGATGATAAAGTAATCATAATAGCTCCATCCCTTTCTCTCATTCAAGAAAGTACAATTGAATGTAGTTGTACGAGAAAGATGTTATCATAGTGTCTACTGTAATTTGCATTAAAAGCCTACATTATACAAACCTTTTTGTTTTACTAGTTAAAAATTACCAGTAACACCTCCCGTAGTGAAATAGGGTGCTGATTAAGAACTGCTACTTTGCAAAATAAAAAATGTAATCTTGAGAGTATATTTTGAAACTCTGGATGAACAAATTTTCTTGCTGCTGGAGCTTAAATCTTGTTCAGTTAGTGGATTTAGAAACAGTAGCTAATGCATAAATGAGTTGTATTTTCTTAGAACGTTTTGGCTATTCTAAGGTAGACAAAATTTGGGTTTAAAAAAAGATTCGCATCCATTAAAGTACAGAAAATGGCCGGGTGCAGTGGCTCACACCTATAATCCCAGCACTTTGGGAGGCCAAGGTGGGAGGATCGTGTGGGCCTAATAGTTTGAGACTAGACTGGGCAACATAGGGAGATCCTGTCTCTACAAAAAAATATAATAAATTAACCAGGCCCGTTGGCATGAGCCTGTAATCCCAGCTACTCGGGAGTCTGAAGTAGGAGGATCACTTGAGCCTGGAAGGTGCAGGCAGCAGTGAGCCATGGTCATGCCACTCACTGCACTCCAGCCTGGGTGGGTGACATAGTGAGGTGCTGTCTTAAAAAGTAAATAAATAGGCCAGGCACGGTGGCTCACGCCTGTAATCCCAGCACTTTGGGAGGCCAAGATGGGTGGATCATGAGGTCAGGAGTTCGAGACCAGCTTGGCCAATATGGTGAAACCGCATCTCTACTGAAAATACAAAAATTAGCCAGGCGTGGTTGTGCGCACCTGTAATCCCAGCTACTCAGGAGGCTGAGGCAGGAGTATCGCTTGAACCTGGGAGGTGAGGTTGCAGTAAGCCGAGCACTGCAGCCTGGGCAACAGAGCAAGACTCTGTCTCAAAAAAAAAAAAAAAAAAAAAAAAAAAAAGTAAATACATAAAGTGCAGAGTAAAAACAAAAAAAGACTAATGCATTTTGTAAAGAACAAGTTGCATTCTTTTAAGTTCCCTTTCAAATTTGTGAACTATTGTTTTTGGGCAGTATGCAAGAAATTGAACACTTTCCAGTTATTCCAAAGAAGGAATATTCTCTTCTCAGCATTTATAAATTGTATTTGCTCTCAAAGTTAACATGTGTCTCTTTTTTTTAATATAATGATTTGTACTGAATAGATACATGTAGATCATTGTACTTGGTTTTGCCCTTCAACAATTTCAACTGCAAAATGTATGTATTTTTAAGTGCCTGACTTTTATGTTTTACAGAACTAAAACCAGAACAGGTGAAGAATATGTCTGCCAGTGAGGTATAGTATTTTACAATGATATTTTCTTTGTCTTCTATATTGTAAGACATATATAAGACATACATATATGAATGTGTGTGTGTGTGGTTTTTTTTTTTTTTTTTTTTTTTTTGAGACAGTCTGGCATGATATCGGCTCACTGCAACCTCCACCTCCTGGATTCAAGCTATTCTCCTGCCTCAGCCTCCCAAGTAGCTACAGGCATGTACCACCAAGCCCAGCTAATTTTTGTATTTTTAGTAGAGAGGGCATTTCACCATGTTGGCCAGTCTGGCCTCAGACTCCTGACCTCAAGTGATCCACCCAACTCGGCCTCCCAAAGTGCTGGGATTACAGGCTTGAGCCGCTGCATCTGGCTGTTTTGTTTGTTTGTTTGTTTGTTTGTTTGTTTGAGACGGAGTCTCACTCTGTCGCCCAGACTGGAGTGCAGTGGTGCGATCTCAGCTCACTGCAAGCTCTGCCTCCCGGGTTCACGCCATTCTCCTGCCTCAGCCTCCCTAGTAGCTGGGACTACAGGCGCCCACCACCACGCCTGGCTAATTTTTTGTACTTTTAGTAGAGACGGGGTTTCACCGTGTTAGCCAGGATGGTCTCTGTCTCCTGATCTCGTGATCTGCCTGCCTCAGCCTCCCAAAGTGCTGGGATTACAGGCGTGAGCCACTGCGCCCGGCCTTTTTTTTTTTTTTTTTTTGAGACACAGGGTCTTGCTCTGTTCTCAGGCTGGAGTGCAGTGGTGCAATCGTGGCTGACTGTAGCCTTGACCTCTTGGTCTCAAGCAGTCCTCTTGTCTCAAACTTTTTAGTAGCTGGGACTACAGGCAAGTGCCACAACGCCCCACTAATTTTTTAATTTTCTGTAGAGATGGTGTCTCTCCCTGTTGCCCAGGGTGGTCTCAGACTCTTGGCCTCAAGTAATCCTCCTGCCTCAGTCTCTCAGAGTGCTTGGGACTAATTTTTTTTAATGGATTTTTCTAGTTGATTAGAAGCTAGAAAAAATTAACTTTGCTTCATTTCAAAATATGGAAACCTATGAAATAGTCAAAATTTTTTTTGGTAATAGACAAAACATATATACATAAAGTCATTTTCTATCAAATCATATTACATAAATACCAAACAGAAGAAAATTACAGGCCGGGTGCGGTGGCTCACGCCTGTAATCCCAGCACTTTGGGAGGCCGAGGTGGGCAGATCACTTGAGGTCAGGAGTTCAAGACCAGCCTGGCCAACATGGTGAAACCCTGTCTCTATCAAAAATACAAAAAAATTAGGCCGGGGGCGGTGGCTCACACCTGTAATCCCAGCACTTTGGGAGGCCGAGGCGGGCGGATCACGAGGTCAGGAGATCGAGACCATGCTGGCTAACATGGTGAAACCCTGTCTCCACTAAAAAATACAAAAAAATTACCGGGGCGTGGTGGCGGGCACCTGTAGTCCCAGCTACTTGGGAGGCTGAGGCAGGAGAATGGCGTGAACCTGGGAAGTGGAGCTTGCAGTGAGCCGAGATCGTGCCACTGCACTCCAGCCTGGGCGACAGAGCAAGACTCCATCTCAAAAAAAAAAAAAAATAGCTGGGCATGGTGGCACGTGCCTGTGGTCCTGGCTACTTGGGAAGCTGAGGCAGGAGAATCACTTGAACTTGGGAGGCAGAGGTTGCAGTGAGCCAAGATTGCCCCATTGCACTCTAGCCTGGGCGACAGAGTGAGACCCAGTCTCAAAAAAAAAAAAATTACATGAAACTTGTGGGGGTTTATACAATAAAAATAACCTATAACTATACGTTAATCCTTTAATAATGTTCTATTTTGTTTTTCAATAACCTTTATTTTTTTAATTAATTTCTTTTTTTTGAGAAGGACTCTGGCTCTGTCACCCAGGCTGCAGTGCAGTGGCACCATCTTGGCTCACTGCAGCCTCCACCTCCCAGGTTCAAGCGATTCTCCTGCCTCAGCCTCCTGCGTAGCTGAGATTACAGGCATGGGCCACCACGCCCAGCTAATTTTTTTTTTTTTTGTATTTTTAGTAGAGATGGGGTTTCACTATGTTGGCCAGGTGGGTCTCGAACTCCTGACCTCAGGCGATCGCCAGCCTCGGCCTCCCTAAGTGCAAGGATTACAGGCGTGAGCCACCATGCCTGGCCAATTTATTACCGTTTCTTAATATGGAAGACCTCCTTATGAGATGCTGAAGCATTTCATTTGAAAAAAGTTGCATGTAAAATATAAAATTGGGTATGCAGAATGGTCATAACTCTGTGAGCAAAATTTTGAAATCAGGCTTGAATTACAGTCAGCCTTTTCTATCCGTGGATTCTGCATTCATGGATTCAACCAACTGCAGATCAAAAATACTTGGGGGAAAAAAGCATCTGTGTTGAACATGTACAGACTTTTATTCTTGTTATTATTCCCTAAACAATATAGTATAAAAACTATTTACATTGCATTTACATTGTATTAGGTGTTATAAGTAATCTAGAGATGATTTAAAGTATACAGGAGGATTGTGTAGGTTGTATGCAAATACTGCACCATTTTACATAAGGGACTTTAAGCGTTTGCGGATTTTGCTATCTATGGGGGAACCAATTTCCGAGAGATACTGAGGGACAGCTGTATATTTGTAACTTATTTTTTATTTCCCTAATTGCAGCAGCTGTTGAGGGGACAGTGAACTGTTAACACAGATAACAAGTGTATTCAAGTACATTTTGGAGTTTGTTTGTTTTTTTTTTTCAGGCTTTTATTCGCCTGTCGGATGAGGCACCATACTTGAATTTTTTTTTTTAAGAAAGCTTTTAGTTTTCTTTCTTTCTTTTTTTTTTTTTGTGAGATGGAGTCTTGCTCTGTTTCTAGGCTGGAGTGGAGTGCAGTGGTGTGATCTCAGCTCACTGCAACCTCCGCCTACTGGGTTCAAGTGATTCTCCTGCCTCAGCCTCCCGAGTAGCTGGGACTACAGGTGCACGCCACCACGCCCAGCTAATTTTTTTTTTTTTTTTTTTTTTTTGTATTTGTAGTAGAGACAGAGTTTCACCATGTTGGCCAGGATGGTCTCGATCTCCTGACCTTGGGATCCGCCCACCTTGGCCTCCCAAAGTGCTAGGGATTACAGGCATGAGCCACCACGCCCGGCTGAAAGCTTTTAGTTTTCTAACTTATTTAATTTAATTTAATTTAATTTATTTTTATTTTATTTTTTGGGACAGTGTCTCACTTGGTTGCCCAGGCTGGAGTGCAGTGGTACAATCATGGCTCACTGCACCCTCTAGCTCCTGGGCTCAGGCAATCCTCCTGCCTCAGCCTTTTGAGTTGCTGGGACTACGGGCATGTACCACCACACTCAGCTAAATTTTTAATTTTTTGTAGAGATGGGGTCTCACTATGTTGCCTAGGCTGGTCTCAGATTCCTCAAGCATTCCTCCCACTTGCACCTCCCAAAATGCTGGGATTACAGGTGTGACACCGTGCCAGACTTGAAATTTTTAATCCCACACCTAAAAATATAATTTTATCCACCATTTTTTAAAAGTCATAACATTATTTATTAAAAATTTAGATGGTAAAACTAAAAATTAAAGCTTAATAAAACTACTGAGTGATTTACAAGGAAGAATATTACTGGTCCCTTTTGTGAGCATCCCATTAATTATATATATTCAGGTTATATTGTTACAATATTTGGTTCTACTGTATACTTTTTTTTTTGAGACTGAGTTTCGCTGTTGTTGCCCAGGCTGGAGTGCAATGGTGCAATCTCGGCTCACTGCAACCTCCGCCTCCTGGGTTCAAGTGATTCTCCTGCCTCAGCCTCCTGAGTAGCTGGGATTACAGGCATGCGCCACTATGCCTGGCTAATTTTGTGTTTTTGTAGAGACGGGGTTTCACTATGTTGGTCAGGCTGATCTGGAACTCCCAACCTCAGGAGATCCGCCCACCTCGGCCTCCCAAAGTGCTGGGATTGCAGGTGTGAGCCACCATGCCTGGCTCTACTATATACTTTCATTCAGTTGTTTCTTTTTAATCTAGTGGTTTTGGTATTAATAATTTGATAATGACCTTTAGCTGTTATTGCTTACTTATGAGTTAATATTTATAAAGCACTTAAAGTAGCTGGCACGTAGTAAACACTATGTAAAGATCCATTAAATAACTTTAAAAAATATAAAACTGATAGTGGCATTTTATTATAGAGATTAAGGTAATCCATTCTCTCATTTCCATTTATGGGATGAGACGTAAACACAAGTAGTTTGCTCTCTAAAACTGTATACTAGAATTTTATATACCCATTATTTGATGCAACTTTAATACCAAAGTGTATTGTCAGTTACCGGTGAATATATATAAATTTAGGTAAGGAAAACCCAACTTGGTCGCACACAGTGGCTCACGCCTGTAATCCTACCACTTTGGGAGGCCGAGGCAGTTGGATCACCTGAGGTCTTGAGTTCGAGACCAGCCTGGCCAACGTGGCGAAACCCCGTCTCCACTAAAAATACAAAAATTAGCCGGGCGTGGTGGCACATGCCTGTAATCCCAGCTGCTCGGGAGGCTGAGGAAGGAGAATTGCTTGAACCTGGGGAGGTGGAGGTTGCAGTGAGCTGAGATCGTACCACTGCACTCCAGTCTGTGCGACAGGAGCGAGACTCCATCTCCAAAAAAAAAAAAAAGAAAAACCCAACTTATCTTTTACAGTTTATAATAGTAGAAGTTCAAATAATTGGTTTGGAATTTCTGTATTTTTAAGGTTAGTACTAAAATTGTTGGTTATAAATTGGGGTACAATATACTTTGTTTTTTAAGTACCTTGTGTATCTAATTTAACTTTAAGTCCTTTATTATTTTGGTTTGATAAGACAACTTTTCTACTTATTTCCCCCCTTAACTGAACCAGCTACCATCTGCCTTTTTCCTGTTGTATACATTAGTCTCTTACGTTAAAATATCATATAAGTTTCATATATATACACATATCAAACTATAGACTTAAAGTACAATTACATCAACATCTTTTAAAACCTTAATTTCTGGCCAGGCGTGGTTGTTCATGCCTATAATCCCAGCACTTTGGGAGGCTCAGGCCATTGGATCCCTTGAGCTCAGGAATTCGAGACCAGCCTGGATAACATGGTGAAATCCTCATCTCTACAAAAATTACAAAAAGTTAGCTGGGCGTGGTGGCGCACACCTATAGTCCTAGCTACTTGGGAGGATCTCTTAAGCCTGGGAGGCAGAGGTTGCAGTGAGCCGAGATCATGCCACTGCACTCCAGCCTGGGTAACAGTGAGACCCTGTCTCAAAACAAAAATATTAATTTCTATAACAAATAAATTTTATTTAGTAATATCATGTTTAATACCCATGTTACATTCATTATTCTTCTACACTTTGGCCTTTAGGAAGAGGCAGTGTGTGTGTTACAGTTAAATAGGAAACAAGTAGGGTTCATATAGTGCTTATGGGGTTTTCTTTGGTGGGGGGTTGCTGGGTTTTTGGGGTTTTTTTTTTTGAGACAGGGTATCACTCTGTCTCCCAGGCTGAAATACATTGGCATGCTCATGGCTCACTGCAGCCTCAACCTCCCAGACTCAAGTGATCCTCCCACCTCAGCTTCCCTAGTAGCTGAGACTACAGGCGTGCGCCACCATGCCTAGCTAAATTTTGTACATTTTGTAGAGATGAGGCTTTGCCATGTTGCCCAGGCTGGTCTCTAACTCCTGGGCTCAAGTGATCCACTTGCTTCAGCCTCCCAAAGTTCTGGGATTAACAGGTGCGAGCCACTGCAGCCAGCCTATATTTTAACTATATGTTTTTTTCTTTTTGGCTAAAATTTTTCAGATTAGTTTACAAGTTACAAGTGTAGGTGATATCTCATGGAGATATCAAAGATGATATGAAGTTAGATTGGGTTTTTAAGAGTAGTTTTTAAAATACGGATAAATACCAGTTGTTGGAGTTTTGTTTAAAGTTCTTTAACTTCTTATTTTTGGGCCAAAATACAGGTATACGCTAGAAATGATTTTTAACACAGGTCATTTATGCCAAACTGCATTTTGCCTTAATTTTTTTTTTTTTTTTTTTTTTTGAGAGGGAGTCTCACTCATTGCCCAAGCTGGAGTGCAATGGCACGATCTCGGCTCACTTACAACCTCCACCTCCCAGGTTCAAGCGATTCTCCTGCCTCAGCCTCCTGAGTAGCTGGGATTACAGGCACCTGCCTGGCTAATTTTTGTATTTTTAGTGGAGACGGGGTTTCACCATGTTGGCCAGGCTGGTCTCGAACTGCTGACCTCAGGTGATCCACCCGCCTTGGCCTCCCAAAGTGCGGGGATTACAGGTGTGAGCCACCGTGCTTGGCCAAAATTTTTATTAATTTTTCTATTGCCTGGACTCTGTGAACCTATCCATTTTGCCTTTTAAAAATACTTAGGTGTAAATATAGATATTCATTAACTCAGCATTGTTTTAATCTATATTTCCAAAGGCAATTTAAAAGATCAGAAAATAAGACCAAATTAATATAAAAATGCATACTTTAGGCTGGGCAAAGTGGCTCACGTCTGTAATCCCAGCACTTTGGGAGGCCAAGGTGGGCGGATCACCTGAGGTTAGGAGTTCAGGACCAACCTGGCCATCATGGCGAAACCCTGTCTCTACTAAAAATACAAAAATTAGCTGGGCATGGAGGCATGTGCCTGTAATCCCAGCTACTCGGGAGGCTGAGACAGAAGAATTGCTTGAACCTTGGAGGGGGAGGTTGCATATCTGAGTGGTGAAATTGTGATTCTTTTTTTCTCTTTGTCTGTATTTTTGAACTTTTCTATAAATGATTGTGTTTTGTTTTTATATTGGAAAAATATTATGCTTTCAAATGTTAATACCTATGAAACTAAACACAAGTAATAAATATATTAGTATAGCATTTATTAAGGTTTCTTGTGTAGCAGATCAACATAGAAAATATATTTAAATGGCTGACATAATTTTCTAAGAATACATACACGTATATTTTTTATAACATTAAGAAACAGCAGCATCATTACTTTAATCCATCATTTCGTTAACCACCATATACCTGTTGATCATTTGTATTGTCATGTGCTTTTTAAAAATCTAGATGAGAAATATTCGATTATCTGACTTCACTGAATCCTTGAAAAAAATAAAACGCAGCGTCAGCCCTCAAACTTTAGAAGCGTACATACGTTGGAACAAGGACTTTGGAGATACCACTGTTTAAGGAAATACCTTTGTAAACCTGCAGAACATTTTACTTAAAAGAGGAAACACAAGATCTTCAATGAACGTCATCGGCTACAGAAACAGCCTAAGTTTACAGGACTTTTTAGAGTCTTACATATTTGTGCACCAAACTTGAAGATGAACCAGAAAACAGACTTAAACAAAATATACAATGCAAATGTAATTTTTTGTTGTTTAAGGCCTTGCCTTGATGGTCACAGTTATCCCAATGGACACTAAGTTAGAGCACAACAAAACCTGATTCTGGTCTTCTTTACCAATATAATCATAATGTAAATAATAATTTGTATATTGTGTTGCAGATGAAAGTATTCCAGGAACAGTGAATGGTAGAAGACACAAGAACATTTGTTTGTTTGTCTTCTGATGTTTTTTCTTAAAATAGTAATTTCTCCTACTTTTCTTTTCTACTGTTGTCTTAACTACAGGTGATTGGAATGCCAAACACTCTTAAGTTTATTTTCTTTTTTCGTTTTATAAATTCAGTGTGCCAAATGAAACTTTTTTCCTAAGTAACTGTAATAGGAAAAAGTTTATTTTGAGAGTTTCTTCTTCATAAATCTACAGACATTAAACAATTGTTGTGTTCTTTTTACCTTTTATTTTTCTATTACCTTGCTACCAAACAGTTTAGATAGCAATATAATAGCAAAAAAGCAAATATGGTAAAATAGAGAAGGTTTGAAGGTTTGAGTTACTCTGTCATATAACATGTAGATCAGTCTTCATGTGACCTGCAGTATTTTTTTTTCTAATGTATTTGTCAGAAATCTGTTGTAGACTGTTAACTTCTTCCTGATGGAATTTATTTTCTGCAAGAATTATTCTGATATTTAAGAGAGCCAATTTTAACTGCTGTGAAAATGTTTCCAGTGCAAGAGAAGGGAAATACTAGGAACTAAGACATTTCTAATTTATTGCTTATTACTTTCTTAATTTTACAGGATAATTATAAGCAAGTGGAACTACCATCTTTTATTCTTAATAATTATTAATCCCTTCAATGAAACTTTAAAAAAACTGAATTTTTATACATGGCATACATTTTTCTAGTTCCTTCTGCTTGCTTTATTAACTCAAAAGTTCTAGTTCTAGTCTGTTGATCTGCCTTTTGTTCTCCCAAAATGTACAGTAATTCCATTTGTTTGTATAAATATGCCTGGATTTTCATTATAAAAATGTCATTGTAGGGAGTAGAGACTCATATCATGGCCTTTTAAATATTGTAATAAAGGCAAATAGATATTTGCCCTTAGTTTACTGGTTAAAAGTTTGTTTACAGAACTTTTCTCTGGTGCTTAAATGATGCTATGTAAAATGTCATGAGTGGAAAGAATATTTGTAGTAGTAACAAGAATTTTTCATTTAGGAAAGATTTCTTAGGTTTTGAAAGAATACATTAAAATAAAAAACTTGCCCCTACTAGGTAAGAACTTTATAATGAAGACATACATTCTTCTTAATTTTACTCTTGCTCTTGTTAAAGATTTGTTTGAATATAGAAGATGCATGATTTCTGGGTTTTTTTTTTTTTTTGAGACAGAGTTTCGCTCTTGTTGCCCAGGCTGGAGTGCAATGGCGCAATCTCGACTCACCACAACCTCCGCCTCCCAGGTTCAAGCAATTCTCCTGCCTCAGCCTCCCGAGTAGCTGGGATTACAGGCATGCGCCACTACCCCAGCTAATTTTGTATTTTTAGTAGAGATGGGGTTTCTCCATGTTGGTCAGGCTGGTCTTGAACTCCTGACCTCAGGTGATCCGCCTGCCTCGGCCTCCCAAAGTGCTGGGATTACAGGCATAAGCCACTGCGCCCAGCCAGAAGATGCATGATTTCTTAGGATCATATGCTGTTTGTAGCCATAAGGTAAATCATGTCTCTTCCAATCATGACTTTGGAACTCCCTGAATAATAAAAATGAGAGTTGAGATAAATAGGGGAAAAAAAATTTTTTTCAAGCCAGAGCTATGCATATGTTAGGTGATGGGTAGTATCCCTTTAAGGTCTCAAACATTACAACATCAATTATGAAATACTGATAACGAAAGGTAGTAATGAAATATATATGATGAAAAGAATTGAGAAGTTCTAAATTAAGACATTTCAGTTAAGCTCATAAAATTTCATTGTTTTCATTTAAAAGATTAACGTTATTGATACTTGGATAACTGGCTAATCATATTAAAGGACTATGTGGTTCCAGCTCAACTTTTAATATATTGTCTCCTTTAAAACTATCATGGTTATAATTCTATTGGGAAAGACTTTTAGATAACAAAGATTTCAAATGTTAAAAGAGATAAAAGTCAGGTTAATACTATCTTAAACACTGAGTCAGAAAATCATTACTGTATAGAAGTTGCTTTCCTGATCAAGTCTGAACTTCAGCTAGTGCTAGAGAACTATTTTCTATGACTTAACTCTAACCAAGTTTTATTTTAAGCTGTTTCTTTGATAGAAGGGCCATGAAAATAGAGTAATGATATAGTAGGAGATAAGGGATTGGTTTGGTCTTTTTCAATAAAGATAGAAGTTGCTGAAGTTTTCTGAATTAATAATGACTTAGATTGTGACCTTTTAGATTCGGTGTTGAGCTCTGTGTTGTATTACTTCCTAAAAGATAATGCTTAAACATTAAGCATTAGTGTGCTCTTCATGTTAATATGGCAGAGTTTTGTAAACTAAATTAAAACTTACTGATATATTGGACTTTGAGCCAAGGGAAAGAATGAGTACTATCTTTCCAGATATCTTAAGGGTAAAAGCTTATTCTAAGACAGTCTGTCCATTGAGAATATTAGATTTCTGACTTGCAAATATGTTTGTACTCCAGAAGAATTAGAGGAAAAGCAGATACTAGAATTCTAATTTAATTACATATACAGCCGTCTTTGTTTATAGTGTAGAATTCTTTATATTTTGTACAAAAACTAATTCTTTTGGTAAAATGAACCATTTACAGTTCGGTTTTGGACTCTGAGTCAAAGGATTTTCCTTTAAATGCTTGTCTCAATTTTAGTCTGGTCTTTTGTACTTTTCTTCAGAAGAAATGAATTAAAGGGTACAGTTGCATAAAGTGGGTTTTTATCCTAATGTATTGGAAATAAATGATAAACTTTATTTTGTCTTTACTTTTTTACTTTAAAACTTTTTGATATTTTAGGGGTTGGAGTCTGATAATGAAGGAGTTGTGTGTATTGGACTCTTAGTAACAATTATAAACGCTTAACAAAATATAGAAAGCAATGATTGGGTGGCTCTGCAGAGCAATCAAAACAAGGTAGAAACTGCAAAGTCCTATAATGGAAGAGATTCAGGCTGGGTGTGGTGGCTCATGCCTGTTTGGGAGGCCAGTATGGGAGAATCGCTTACACTCAGGAATTCAAGACCAGCCTGGGGAATATAGGGAGACCCTGTTTCTGCCAAAAAAAAAAAAAAAAAAAAAACTAAACTAAAAATTAGCCAGGTTTGGTGGCCTACACCTGTAGTCCCGGTTACTCAAGAGGCTGAGGTTAGAGGATCGCTTAAGCCCGGGAGGAGGAGGTTGCAGTGAGCCAAGATCACACCACCACACTCCAGCCCAGGTTACAGAGAACCTGTCTCAAAAAATAAAAAGTAAACGAGATTCACCTTAACCAGCTTTTACCCATAGGGCAATTTCCAGTTTGTGCAGTTCACTTGGATATAGAATTCAGGTAGAATGTGACAGTTTTGACAGGCTGAGGAATCATTTGGGACTTCTAGAACACCTGAAAATTAGAAGAGAAATTTTGGGAAGGAGAGTGCCTCAGAAAGTAAGCTCTAAAATCTGCCTACATATTCCTTTCAAATCCTTGGTGGATTCCAAAATTGTGCTGGTGCAGTGTGATTATTTAAAGGAACCCAGGAGAAAGCAAGTTAAAGTCTAAAAAACTCAGCAGCGATTGCAGCTGCCCAAGGACAGAGAGTTTGAAATTCAAGTTCCACTAAGAAGGACTGAGTAAATACTTGGTGTTTCCCATTGAACCCCCAAAATGCCACGCCTTAAGGAAGAATGACAGCATCCTAGAACTAAAGGCTGTGCTTCAGCACTAAGGACAAAATGGAAATAAACTTACTGTAATGAAGCTTAAAATCAAATCTCACAGCATCAAGGTTATCCATTAGTAATTTAAAACCAGAACAAAACACAGCATTCTTGAGAAGAAAACAATTCAGTCATCACAGCATATATCCAAAGCTCAGTACATAATAAACAGTTACTAAGCATGCAAAGAAAAATTATGTGATCCTTTTGACTCAACTTCCCTGATGGAAAAAAAAAAGTGGTCCATACCATACTCAACAGAAAATATACAGAAGCAGATGCACAAGTGACCTCTATGAGAGTGATTTTAAAATAGCGTTAAAATATGTTAAAAGAATTTACAAGAAGAGATAATGGGTGAATAGATAGGGAGTTTCAGCAGAAAAATAAGAATTGAAAACCCAACAGAGGCCAGGCACCGTGCCTCACGCCCGTAATCACAGCACTTTGGGAGGCCAAGGCAGGTGGATCACCTAAGGTCAGGAGTTCAAGACCAGCCTGACCAACATGGTGAAACCCGGTCTCTACTAAAAATACAAAACTAGCCGGGCATGGGTGATGCATGCCCATAATCCTAGCTACTTGGGAGGCTGAAGCAGGAGAATTGCTTGAACCTGGGAGGTAGAGGTTGCAGTGAACCAAGATCATGCCATTGCACTCCAGCCTGGGCAAGAAGAGCAAAACTCCATCTCAAAAAATAATAATAATAATTGGCTGGGCGCGGTGGCTCACGCCTGTAATCCCAGCACTTTGGGAGGCCGAGACAGGCAGATCACAAGGTCAGGAGATTGAGACCATCCTGGCTAACATGGTGAAACCCCGTCTCTACTAAAAATACAAAAAATTAGCCTGGCATGGTGGCGGGCACCTGTAGTCCCAGCTACTCGGGAGGCTGAAGCAGGAGAATGGCATGACCCCAGGAGGCGGAACTTGCAATGAGCCCAGATCGCGCCACTGCACTCCAGCCTGGGCAACCGTCTCAAAAATAATAATAATAATAATTAGAAAATAATAAAAAATAACCCACTGGAAAGTCTTGTAATGAAAACTACAGTATCTGAAATTAAAAATTTAAATGGATGGACTTAACAGTAAACTAGGCACAACAGGAAAGACTGAAAAAGACAAGTAAGTATCAAACCAAAGCAGAGAGAGAAAGAAAAAAGAAATAGCAGAGGTTTGAGACCTTTGGAACATTATCAGTTCCTGTAATTTGAAGTAAAGAAGGAAAGGAAGAGAATGGGGCAAGAGAAATCTTTGAAGCAATGATGCGTGAAATTTTCCCCAAAGTGTTGAAAGACATCAACGTACAGATCTAAGAAGTTCACTGAATCCCCAAGCAGAATAAATACAACAAAGACTACATCTGGGTACATCACATTGCCAAAAAAAAAAAAAAAAAAAATCTTAAAAGCAATCAAGGTGGGGAGTGGGAAGGAGTAGCATTACATTCAGATAAACAAGAGTGATGGCTAACCTCATCAGAAATGATGGAATTAAGAAAATGATGGAATGACATCTTTAAGGTGCAAAGATGAAACAAAGGTTAACTTAAAACTCTGTATCCAGTTAAAATATCCTTCAAGATGTTAAGGCAATGGCCAGGCTCAGTGGCTTATGCCTGTAATCCCAACACTTTGGGGGGCTGAGACAGGAGAATCCCTTGAGGCCATGAGTGACCAGCCTGGGCAACCTAGTGAGAACCCCATCAAAAAATAAAATTAGCTGGGCATGGGCTGTGGTCGTGCTACTGCACTCCAGCCTGGGGGACAGAGTCCCTATCTCTTGAAAAACTTAAGACAAAATCTTTTCCAGATGAAAACAGAATTTGTTGCTGGCAGACTGACTTTATACGGAATGCTTTAAGAAATTCTTCAGGCTGAAGGAAAATATAAATCTGGAGTGAAAAACGTAGTATCTGAAATTAAAATTTTCCTTGGATGGACTTATCAGTAAATGGATTTCCCAATGGGAACCTGTATCTCCAGGATGGAATTAAGAATTTTGAAATGATAAACATGTTGGTAAATAAGAAAGACATTTTTCTTTTTTATTTTTCTAAATATCATTGCTGTTTAAAGCAAACAAAAATAGTATTGCAGTGTTTATAATATATGTATAAGTAAAATATAGGACAGAAATAGCATGAAGGGTCAGAGAGGGCAATAAATGTAATTATATTGAGATAATATTACTATATTGTACACAAAGTGAGATAGCATTAGTGTAAGGTAGATTGTGATAAGAATGCATTTTGTAATCTCTCACCCCATCACTGGGGTGCAGTAGATCTAAAAAGCCATTAGAGAAGATAAAATGGGTCACTAAGAATTATGTGATTAGTCAAATGAAATCAAGGAAAGAAAAACAGAGCAAAGAAGTGTAAGATAAAACAGTGGGATGGAAGAGCTGAAATTAATAATGTCACTAAATTGCTTACCTTCCTCCTTCCTGAACTGTTGTGGATTTTTTTTTTTTCAGGGGGTTGAGGTTTTTTTTTAGAGACAGAGTCTCTATTGCCCCAGGCTGGACAGCAGTGGCGTAATCAGTCTCAAAATCCCTGCAGTCTCAAACTCCTGGGCTCAAGTGATCCTCCTGCCTCGGCCTCCCAAAATGCTGGGATTACAGGCAGGCAGAGCCACCACACCCTGCCAGAACTATTGTTTTAAAGTCATTAGGTGGTTAAGCCCTCGAGACTATGTGCAAGTTTGATGATTCGTTAGGAGCACTCACAGGACTCAGCATATAGTCTTATTCCCAACAATGATTTATTAGAGCAAAAGGATATGAAGCAAATTCAGCAAAGGGAAAAAAGGAATTAAGTGAAGTCCAGAGGAAACCAAGCACCAGCTTCTAAGGGTTCTCTCCTAATGAAGTCACACAGGATGTCACTCCAGCAACAAGTGACAGCATGTGAAAGTGTTAAGCCTCACTGTTAGACATAGTAAGCTTGTTAGGGAATAGAGGGAATCTCCCCTCAAATTCAAGTTCCCAGATGCCTGGCAAGGGCCAACCTTGCCAGCAGGACTTTCTGGGGATAGCAGTCCCAGGCACGTGTTTGCACAGTGGTTCAGATCAATGTGCTTACATTGGGTAGAGGGGACCTATGGAAGTCCAAATTTGGGTGTCAGAGACCTAATAGGGTGAAGACAGTGTCTACAATGATGGACAGCTAGGTATGAGGTGTCAGGGACAGATTGAGGCAGTTATTCACATGGTGGATAGGGGCAACCTGGAATGAGGAATAAGCTCAAGCACAGAAAGGGGTGTCCATATGGGGTAAGGGTGTCAGCAGAGATGGTAGATTGGTTGCACACCAAAGACTTGATGGAATAAAGTGAATATACTAACCACAGAGAAGGTAATTATAAATACAGAAAGGGGGGAAACTAGAATGAAACCTGGAGTTCAGCTTGAATTGGGTTTAAGAAAGTGAATTCATGGTTTAAAATCTATAAAAATAGATGAAATATCGGCTGGGCACAGTGGCTCACGCATATAATCCCAGCACTTTGGGAGGCCGAGGCGGGCAGATCGCTTGAGATCAGGAGTTTGAGACCAGCCTGGCCAACACTGCGAAACCCCATCTCTAGTAAAAATACAAAAATTAGCCAGGTGTGGTGGTACACACCTGTAGTCCCAGCTACTTGGGAGGCTGAGGCACGAGAATCACTTGAACCTGGGAGGCAGAGGTTGCAGTGGGCTGAGATCGCACCACTGCACTCCAGCCTGGGCAACAGAGCGAGATCCTGCCTCAAATAAAAATAGAGGACATATAAGCATATAAATATACACGTGTGTATGTGTCCAAATATGTATATTCCCTAGTCTGTCCACCAAGGTGGCCTTGGAGCAGTTATGCTCCAATAATAATGAGCACATAAAGTACCCATATCTTGCCTTCCAAATTCTTCACTGTCTTAGTCTGCTTGGGCTGCATTACAAAATACCATAGACTGGGCAGCTTAAATAACAGAAATTTATCCTCACAGTTCTAGAAGCTTGGAAGTCCAAGATTAAAGTACCAGCCAGTTTGGTTTCTAGTGAGGGCTTTCTTCCTGGCTTGCAGATGGCCACCTTCTCACCGTGTCCTTGTATGGCAGACAGCACAAGCTCTCTGGTGTCCCTTTTTAAAAGGGCATTAATCCCATCATGACAGTCCCATCCTCATTATCTCATCTAACCCTAGGTACTTCCCAAAGGCTGAATCACCAAAGACCATCACATTGCTGGTGAAGGCTTCAACATATGAATTTGAGGGACACGAATATTCAGTCCATAACATCAACTAAAGGAACCAAGACTCTTTGATAAAATGGCTAAATTCAGGGCTGGGGCAGAGAAAATACATGAGTGTGGAACTTCTTGTGCCAGAGAGAAAAAGTGCCCAAAGATTGATGAGGATGAATCATTGAAATGACACACAGATTAAAAGGGTTCCCACTGGACAAATTTGAGCATCAAAATAAGTAATAGTAGTAATTAATTATAACCCATCAGAAGAAATAAACCATGAGCTCATGTGAATATATGAATACAAACATAAACAAATTACAAGCATAATGAGGAATGTGATATTTATATGGTTTAAAGGTACCTCTCCAGGCCGGGTGCAGTGGCTCATGCCTGTAATCCCAGCACTTTGGGAGGCCAAGGCAGGTAGATCACCTGAGGTCAGGCATTTGAGACCAGCCTGCACAACATGGTGAAACCCTGACTCTACTAAAAATACAAAAATTAGCCGGGCGTGGTGGCACGTGTCTATAATCTGCCACTGATTAGGTGTGTGATTTTCCCAAGCAGGGGATAATAGTAGTACCTATGTCAAAGGCTGTTATGAGGATTAAATGAGCTAACACATAATCGTGCTTTTTTTTTTTTTTTTTTTTTTTGAGACAGAGTCTTGCACTGTCGCCTGGGCTGGAGTGCAATGGCACGATCTCGGCCCACTGCAACCTCTGCCTCCCAGGTTCAAGTGATTCTCCTGCCTCAGCCTCCTGAGTAGCTGGGATTACAGGCTCCTGCCACCACACCTGGCTATTTTCAATAGAGACGGGGTTTCACTATGTTGGCCAGGCTAGTCTCAAAAACCTGACCTCGTGATCCACCCGCTTTGGCCTCCCAAAGTGCTGGGATTACAGGCATGAGCCACTGCACCCGGCTTTTTTTTTTTTTTTTTGAGATGGAATCTCTCTCACCCAGGCTTCATCTCAGCTCAGTGCAACCTCCGCCTCCTGGGTTCAAGCAATTCTCCTGCCTCAGCCTCCCGAGTAGCTGAGATTACAGGTGCCTGCCACCACACCCGGCTAAGTTTTATATTTTTAGTAGAGACGGGGTTTTGCCATGTTGGCCAGGCTGATCTCAAACTCTTGACCTCAAGTGATCTGCCTGCCTCAGCCTCCCAAAGTGCTGGGATTACAGGCATGAGGCACTGTGCCTGGCCTCAAATTCTTAGAATACTGCCTACCACATATTGAATGTTCATTAAATCCTAGGTATAGGACAGGGGTGTTGGCTCATGCCTGTAATGCTAGCATCTTGGGAGGCTGAGGCAGGAGGATCACTTGAGCCCAGGAGTTCCAGACCAGCCTGCGCAACATAGCAAGACCTCTCCTCTACTAAAAAAGATTACTGTGGCTGCAGTGTGGAGAACAGATTGTCGATAGATGATAATACCTACGATTTTATTTATTTTTTACTTCTTATTTATTTTTTTGAGATGAAGTGTTGCACTGTTGCCCAGGCTGGAGAGCAGGGGCACGATCTCGCCTCACTGCAACCTCTGCCTCCCGGGTTCAAGCAATTCTCCTGCCTCAGCCTTCTTAGCAGCTGGGATTACAGGCACCCGCCACTACGCCCAGCTAATTTTTTTTATCTTTAGTACAGACAGGGTTTCACCATGTTGGCCAGGCTGGTCTCAAACTCCTGACCTCGTGATTCGCCCGCCTAGGCCTCCCAAAGTGCTGGGATTACAGACGTGAGCACCACACCTACTCAGTTGTTCTGTATACCATTACATGTTCAGCAACCCTAATCCAACCATCTGAAATTAAAATGCTCCAAAATCAAAACTTTTTGATCATCAACACGATGCCACAGTGGAAAATTCCACACCTGACCGCATGTAAAAAGCTGTAGTCAAAATTTTGTTTGATACACACACAATTTTTAAAATTGCATAAAATTACCCTGAGGCTATGTGCATAAGGTGTATACGAAACATAAATGAATTTCAAGTTTAGCCTCTGGCCCCATCCCCAAGATAAAGAGCCACAATCTGAAACAGTTCTGGTCTTAAGCATTTGGGATGAAGGATACTCAACCTATACCCAGTTTTCTACACGACACTACTTATGAATATCTTTTAAAAATTTCTTTATCCCTACTTGTTTTCTGTCTTCCCTACCAGAATATAATTTTCACGAGACCAGTATCTGACAAACACACGTGCTACATATTCAATCTTTATCGAATGAATTTAATATTTTCCAAGTTTTCTATAATTAACATTACTTCTATATTATTAATTTTATAGAGAATCCAAATAGCATTTTATTAAGTAGACCATTAGTCGGTCCGAGTTCAAATTCTGCTACTACAGCAAACTATATGTAGGACTCAAGGCAAGTTTCTTTTTTTTGAGACGGAGTCTCGCGCTGTCGCCCAGGCTGGAGTGTAGTGGCGCGATCTCGGCTCACTGCAACCTCCGCCTCCTAGGTTCAAGCGATTCTCCTGCCTCAGCCTCCAGAGTAGCTGGGATTACAGGCGCGTGCCACTACGCCCGGCTAATTTTTGCATTTTTAGTAGAGCCGGGGTTTCACCATGTTGGCCAGGCTGGTCTCGAACTCCTGACCTCAAGTGATCCGCCTGCCTCGCCGCCGAAAGTGCTGGGATTACAGGAGTGAACCACCACGCCTGGCGGAGGCAAGTTTCTTAATCTTCTTTCCTCACTTGTAAAACTGGAATACTGTCCATTTTCATAAGGTTAAATCATACAACACAGGTAAAAGCGCTTCAGCACGCAACGAAATTTTTCTAACGTAACGAAAAACTCCTCGTTGCTCCTTGCCTTGCCCTTAACCTCAACGCTTCAGGTCCCGACCAATCTCTCGGAGAGCTCAGAGGGAGCCGCTCTAGCCGCCTTCCGCCACGGAGTGCAGGGACAGCCGGGAAGGGGACGGAAGCCGGAGGCCAGAGCACGCACTTCCTCCCACGCTTTCCTCACAGCCAATCGCCCACTGGTGCCCCACCCCTTCCGTTCTGGGAAAACTCGAGCACCCAGAACGGCTTCCGGCGGGAGCTGTGCAGCTCCTTATCATGGTGAGTTGGCTGTTGGGGTGAGGGTTTCGGCTGTAGCTGATTCGGTTTATCTTATTTGGTCCCGAAGCGACCTTGAAATCCCTCAGCCACCCAGAGGAGGGGTCATTGGAGTTGAAGTCGGGCCCCTTGGCAGGAGCGGCTGTCTCCCAAAATGTTCCCCTTCAGAGTTCTGGTCCCTTTCGGTCCCTCACCTGTTCCGCAGGCGCTCACGATCTAGGCCCCGCTGCAGGCAGAGCTTTCAGCTCCTGGCGAGTTTCTGACTTCCCTCTGCCGAGATTTCTTTAAGGTAATAAAAGTTTTTGCCAGCGTCAACAACTAGGCCACCAACAAAAGATCTGAAAACAAGTCCACAGCAACAACTGTAATAGTGATTCTTAGAGCAGTGGCGATAACGCCAGCGGAAAAAAAAAAAAAAGGTTAGTAATAGGGTTTTAGGGCAGACGTCTCACTCTGCAACTTGGCTTTACTAAATATTAAGTAGCCTGATTACGGCAGCAAATTTCATAAGCGCAGTAACTACAGAAAGTCAAGGTGTTGGTAGGACATTTTATTGCTGCTTTATTTCTGGGTTTGTAGAAACTAATGGAAGACCCAGTAGACGTTATGGTTGTTGGGATATGGTGTTTTCTCTCAAATTTGTTAGAATTAGTCATTCTTTGCCTTTAGAGCTCAAATATATAGCTCTGAACTTTAAAGATAAGCAGTTGGTTGGGATTTGAAGTGTCCAAGTGGCGTGTGCCTTTTGAAAATGCATTTATTAGAAAAATTTATGGAGTACTTATTGATAGCCTACGTATGAGAAAGAGACCACATTTCTGTGCCTAAGCTTTTGTCACTGTACTAAGTTTTTTACTTAAGTGGATATGGTCGGGAAAATGCCTCATTCACACACTTTATGTTTTGTAAATTTTCTGTAATCCTTTTGCACACAGAAAATGGGTAAAAGTTTACACTTTTTGGCTAATGATCAAATAGCCTTCAGTTACGCTCTTCTTCAAAACATTCACCATTGTGAAGCCTGTAGCCAGAGTTATATTTCTAAAATTTGACCACATCACTCCCTTACTCAAATTTTCTCCTTTTTTTTTTTTCTGTAGCACTCAAGATAAAGTCCTGTTTAGCATGGCATACAAAGCCACTCATTATCAAGCTTCTTACTTTTACAGCCTCTTTTTTTGTTGTTGTTTTCGAGACGGAGTTCCACTCTTGTTGCCCAGGCTGGAGTGCAATGGCGCGATCGCGGCTCACCACAACTTCCGCCTCCCGGGTTCAAGCGATTCTCCTGCCTCACCTTCCCGAGCAGCTGGGATTACAGGAATGCGCCACCACGCCTGGCTAATTTTGTATTTTTAGTAGAGACGGGGTTTCTCCATGTTGGTCAGGCTGATCGCGAACTCCTGACCTCAGGTGATCCTCCCGCCTCTGCCTCCCAAAGTGCTGGGATTACAGGCGTGAGCCACCGTGCCAGGCCACAAACTCTTTTTTTTTTTTTTTTTTTAATGCATACATGTATGCAACATCCGTATTTCAGCCACAGTGAATAGCTTGCAAATCATGCTGTATTAATTGAGCCTTTGTACCTAATTTGCATATGCTCTTCCATCCCCAGAATTGTTCTCTGTTCTCTATCGGCTGTCCTTATCAGAATAACCCTTATATATCCTTAATTATTTTTCATGAACCTTTCCCTCATGTTCCAGTATCCTCTTAGTTGCTTCTCCTTTGTGCTCTGGTGGTACCTTGTGCTTTTATATGCACAAACACACACACACACACACCAGTTTTGTTACATAAAGCTGCACAAAACGAATACATACAATAGAAACTTAACTTGCCTATAATACTGATGATTTGAAGGGAGTTGAAGATAAAGGGATAAGAGACTTAAAATTCAGAGGTCTTTCAGATTATACACCTTCATTAACTCACAGCCCTAATTTAAGAAAGTAAAACTTGAATCTCTTGTGTTTTTTACCAGTAACATCTGTAATCCTTACAGACGATGTTAAAGTTGTGTACTTATTTGTCTTTCTCACTTTCTAGACTGTAAGCTCATTGAGAGCAGGACCTATGTATTTCACCCTAATTCCCAGAGCTTTGTAGCGTGCCTGGCCCAGAGGAAGTTTTCAATAAACATCTGTTTTATAAGACACTGAAAACTTATGGCACTATATCTTTATGCTTGAAACATTAGTATTAGTCATGCAGGGAAACAGTATTTAAGGTTTATTTTAAAGGATATTGAGAAAAGGTTTTGCGTTTATTAAGAACATGCTATGTGAAAACAGTACTTTCTTAGAAAATATAAAGAAAAATACAAATAAAACGTCTGTTTTATAAAGCACTGAAAACCTATGGCACTATATCTTTATGCTTGAAACATCAGTATTAGTCATGCAGGGAAACAGTATTTAAGGTTTATTTTTTAAAATAAATATTTTAAAATAAAATATTGAGAAAAAGGTTTTGTGTTTATTAACATGCTGTGTGAAAACAGTGCCTTCTTAGAAAATATAAATAATATAAATATATAATATTAAAAATATAAGTATATAAAAACAAAATATAAAGGAAAATAGCCCTTGTCATTAGTGAAGTTACTAAAATTACAAAGCAATGTAACAAGTTGAAGGCTTTACTTTGGTTAATGCAAAATAAGTGGCATAAAAAACACTATAGTTTGGAATGATCTAGGAAGACTTCATTTAAGAAGTGAAACATGAAACTAAGTACTTTGTGCCCCACTCTAATACTCTTAATCTAATACTTGTTTGTCATTATATGAATAAGAGCTTGGGTTAGACAGATCTGGCCTTTTCACGCAAGAGTGGTCATGAGACAAAAGAGTAGACCAGTTTAACTGAAGTTGAGGGTTTCTATCTGGAGTAAGAGATAAGACTGGAAAGAAACAGGCTAAGTCATTGAAAACCTGGAAATTCAGGTTGTAAAATTTGTAGTTTATTCTGATAGCAATGGCGAGCCAATATAATTTTGGGAAGAGTGATATGACATTAGGATTTTTGTTTTATTTTCATTGTCAGGATGGCATCAGAAGTGGCTTTCTGCCTCTTAGAAACCTTGTTGATTCTCTTAACCTGAAACTTAAAGTTGGCTAGGGTTAAACAGAAGATGTCCAAAATAACAGTATTAAGGAGAATTTTTTAAATCTTTGGAACCAAAATAACTCACACATAATTCTTTAAGAAAAGAATATATATACATATGTACATACACATATATATAATATTTATACATATGTACATTTATTTATGTATTTATTTATTTATTTCGAGATGGGGTCTCGCTCTGTTGCCCAGGCTTGAGTAAAGTGTGAACCTGGCTCACTGCTTGACTTCCCGGGCTCATGCGATCCTTCCACCTTGGTGTCCTGAGTAGCTGGGACTACAGGCATGTACCACTATGCCTGGCTAATTTTTTTCTTTTCAATTTTTTTGTAGAGACAGGGTCTCAGTATATTTCCTAGGCTGGTCTTGAACTCCTGGGCTCAACTGATCCTCCTGACTCAGTCACCCAAAGTGGTGGAATTACAGGCATGAGCCACCATGGCCAGCCAAGAAAAAGATATATTTATTGGCTGGGTGCGGTGGCTCACGCCTGTAATCCCAGCACTTTGGGAGGCCAAGGCGGGCGGATCACGAGGTCAGGAGATCAAGACCATCCTGGCTAACACGGTGAAACCCCGTCTCTACTAAAGGTAAAAAAAAATTAGCCGGGCGTGGTGGTGGGTACCTGTAGTCCCAGCTACTCCTTCACCGCAGAATGGGGCTGCGACAGAGTGAATATCCTGTTTGCCGTGTAGCCTATATTTAAAATCAGACTGTCCTCCTCAAAAGCAGCTGGAACTGAGGTTCAAGAGATGGATGTGACTGTGTATAGGGAGAGGCATACCATTTTTATTTTTAAAGTATCAAGAGAAATCATGATTTCACATTAACAATACAAAGTTGCAAAAGCAAATGTGAATAATGAGCAGGTACTGATTTGGCCAGCTTTATAAATGTGTAACTTTTAAAACTGGGTTATTCATCTTTTTAAAAATAGTTTGTGGAAGCTCATTGTGTATAGAGAAAATTGGCCTATTGTCTGTTGTGAATTATAGTTTTTTTTCAGTTTGACCTTCTTAAAGTTTTTTTCCCCCTTAAGGGTATTACATTCGCCCATGAAATTATATAGTAAAATCAATCAATTTTTTTCCTTTAGAGCTTCTTGGGTTTTATGCCCTATTAAGAAAGGCTTCCCCCAACTCCCAGATTATAAAATAATACATCTAGACTTTCTTCAGTCAAGTACTCTATAAATCTGTATTTTATTTTTAAAAATAACAACAGAGTAAGGAGTAACGGTAAGGGTGAAACATTACCTTGATCAAAATACCATTTATTGACTGGCTTATATTTTCTCCCAGTGATATTGGATACTGCTTTTCTCATAAGTTAATTTCTCATATGTGTTTGAACTCTCTGTTCTGCTAAGGCTTTCCCATGTGATTTCCTAAACTTGGGTGGTTAATCCCCTCTAGTTGCCACTTGGTCTCCTCTCTCATTGGTGAGCCCTATCTTTACTATCCCCAAACTAACTATACACTAGCAGGGGCCAGGGAGACTAGCCAGGATGTCAGATACTTTGACTGAATGCCTAAGAGAGAATCTCAGGGGTTTTACTATAATAGTTGCCTGAACTTACTTTCTTTTTGAGACAGAGTCTCACTCTGTCACCGAGGCCAGAGTGCAGTGGCACAATCTTGACTCACTGCAAACTCCACCTCCCAGGCTCAAGAGATTCTCACGCCTCAGCCTCCTGAGTAGCTGGTATTACAGGTGTGCACCACCACACCCAGTTCATTTCTATATTTTTAGTAGAGACAGGGTTTTGCCATGTTGGCCAGGCTGGTCTCAAACTCCTGGCCTCAAGTTATCCCTCTGCCTCGGCCTCCCAAAGTGCTGGCATTACAGGCATGAGCCCCAAGCACAACCACATATATAGCTTTAATTAGGTGAATTTTCAGTAGAAATTTCCAGTAGAGCTATTTGGCAAACTATTTCTTTTTCAGTTCAAGTTGCCTTATCCATTTAAAAATAAAGAGTGTGGTCTGGAGCTAAAAAGCCTGGGTTTGAATTTCTGCTCAGCCATTTACTAGCTCTGTGACTTTGGATGACTTACTAAAAGTTGTCTCCACCACATAGGTTTATTGTGAATATTAAATCCATAAATACACATAAAGTGTCTAGAATAAGTGCTTGATGTATATTGAGTACTTAATAAATATTGGTTATTTATATCATAGGAACCACTATATCATATCATAGGAACTCTGAAGATGATTAAATATCTAAATGCTGATTTGTATATGTTTGTTTGAAAGGGGACAATTCATCTCTTTCGAAAACCACAAAGATCCTTTTTTGGCAAGTTGTTACGGGAATTTAGACTTGTAGCAGCTGACCGAAGGGTAAGTTATTCCTTAACCCCAATTTTAATTATTGCACAAACAACATTATAACATTGAAGAAAGATAATTTTTAAGGCCAATAGAAATCACTCCTGATCCTGCCACACTGTTTTCATTTTTCTATGTTGGAAAAGTATTTTTTTAGTGTAAAATTGCAGTTGTTTGGTGTTAAGTTGTTTTACTTTGGTAGGAAGCTTCTGTTAAAGTTTTGATTCTAATTCTGAAGTGTTTTAAAGAAAAATGGTTTTGTGGTTGCTTTTTGTTATTAAGTTTTCAAAAAATTAAATGGATCCAGTCTAAAGCCATGTTTTCTCTTTTATTTATTTTTTTTTTTTTGAGATGAAGTTACACTCTTGTTGCCTAAGCTGGAGTGCAATGGCATGATCTTGGCTCACCGCAACCTCTGCCTCCCGGGTTCAAGCGATTCTCCTGCCTCAGCCTCCCAAGTAGCTGGGATTACAGGCATGGGCCACCACGCCCGGCTAATTTTTTGTATTTTTAGTAGAGATGGGGTTTCACCATGTTGGTCAGGCTGATCTCGAACTCCCGACCTCAGGTGATCCGCCCACCTCGGCCTCCCAAAGTGCTGGGATTACAGGCGTGAACCACCGTGCCTGGCCCATGTTTTCTCATTTTTAATGTAGGGCAAGAAAAATATGTTTTGAGACTGTAAATAAAAAGATGTAATTGCCATCCTTTTAGGCCACCAATGTAAACCTTCTAGTTACTGTGTTTCATGCTTCTCATTGTTGTCTAAATGATAAACTCTCTGAGGGAAGTGACTGTCTCTATTTTGCTCACCTTTTTATAGAAGTACAATATAAACATTCAGTAAATATTTGATGACTTTTAAGTAAAGCCAGCTTCAATGAAACAATAATAAGCAGTACCAATGGGCACTCCAATTGAAACTCTGCCATATTTTCACTATTTTTCAACTCCGTTATCCTCATTTGCTTCCTTATCCAACTTAGATTCTATGCTCCATCATTATCATTTCCCTCCTTTTTGTTCTTTTTTTTTTGAGATGGAATCTTGCTAAATTATCCAGGCTGGTCTTGAACTCCTGGGCTCAAGGGATCCTCCTTCCTCAGCCTCTTGAGTAGCTGGGATTACAGGGGTACACCACCACTCCCAGCTAGTATCATTTTCTTTTATATGTTCTCAACTCTTTTGTGCTCCCCTTCCCTCTGTCTTAATTCCTGGAAAATCCCTAACCTTCATTAAGTTCACTTTCTTTCTACTCTACTTGCATCTAAGCAACTGAATGTAACCTGAGAGAAACAAAACCATGCGACTGGTCTCACTTTGAATTCATGATCAGACAGACCATTAGTGCTGCCTATTAAGTGCTGCCTATTAGTGCTCTTTCATTTTATATTTCCTTTGTTCATTCAATTTTCCAATTTCCTAGATGGCTGTTTCATACGATGTTCTTTCGTTTCTATCCTCAAGCTTCTAATACCTTCTTCATCCTCACCCTAACCTGATGATCTTGCTTCCTGTTTCACCAAGGGAAAAGAAGTAATCAGAAGAAAACTTCTACATCCTATCATTAGCACATCAGCCATCACTCCGCCTTCCCTCCTATTTCTCTGGACAAGCTTTCAGTTCTTCTCTATAAAGGCAATCCTTTCACTTGTTGCCTACTGAAAGATGATGTCCCTATAATTGTTCTGTTTCTTACATCATTGTTTTTCTTGCATCATGCATCATTCTCCTCTTTCTTGCATCGTAATTACATGTTATAAGTTCCACTCTCAGGGCTGCTTCATTTCTCAGCTTCCTTTTGTAGCAAACCTACTTGAAAGAATTATCAGTACATTGTGTTCACCTTCTCTTCTCCTCATCTTTATTAAACACATACCAGTTAGGTACTTGTGCCCACTAATTCACATAAACAGCTTTTACAAGGTAACCAAAAATCTCTGTGTTGCCAAAATGAAGATTTTTCCTTATTTCTCACCTTACTTGGTTGATGTTGAACAGCCAAAGTCAGTACTTTTTTTTTTTTTTTTGAGACAGAGTCTCGCTCTGTCGCCCAGGCTGGAGTGCAGTGGCACAATCTCATCTTACTGCAACCTCTGCTTCCCTGGTTCAAGCGATTCTCCTGCCTCAGCCTCCCAAGTAGCTGGAAATAGAGGTGCCTGCCACCACACCTGGTTGATTTTTTGTTTTAGTAGAGACGGGGTTTCACCATGTTGGCTAGGCTGATCTTGAACTCCTGACCTCCACCCACCTTGGCCTCCCAAAGTGCTGGGATTGCAGGAGTGAGCCATTGCACCTGGACAAGATTACTAACTTTTAGGAACATCATCATGCCCTTTATTCAGATTCACCAGTTGCTTACATTTGGCCCCATTTGCTTCATCGTTGTCTCTATAATATGTACTTATAGAGACAAAACGATATGCATATGTATGTGTATTTTTCTCAACTATTTGAGAATTTCTATGTCAGAATTTATTTTCTCTTGAACAACTCTCCTTCTGGAACTATTCTTTTAAACTTGTATACTGTAATAACTTAGCCGATGACAATTTTGGTAGATGTAGAAAGTGTGACACAGACTTTTTGAAGGAAGTTATGTTTATTCCTTTGAATATCAGAGTATAAATTGTAGCAACTTGAACAGACCCCGTGAAATTTATCACTTCTGTACACATAAGAGTGATTTTTATTTTCACAGTCCTGGAAGATACTGCTCTTTGGTGTAATAAACTTGATATGTACTGGCTTCCTGCTTATGTGGTGCAGTTCTACTAATAGTATAGGTATGTCACCTTTGTATTTTTATGGAGTTGTTATTTTTACTTTTATTTTTCTCATTGGAAATAAAGGTATATCTTACATAGAATATATTATTCTGAAATGTATATAACTCAAATGATTTAAATAAGGGACTATATTTAAAACTTCCCTGTAAACTGTAAACTTTTGTTCATTTGTTAGGATTGTAATTTTTTTTTAAGTTTTTTTCCTTTTAAAATATATTTTAAAACAGAAATGGGGTTTCGCCATGTTGCCCAGGCTGGTCTCAAAATCCTGAGCTCAAACGATCTACCCACCTTGGCCTCCCAGAGTGCTGGGATTACAGGCGTAAGCCACAATGCCTGGCCATTTTCATTTTAAATAAGCTGTTATTTTTTGAAAAATCATTAAATCTATCTGGAGATTTTTTTTTTTTTTTTTTTTTTTTGAGACGGAGTCTCACTCTGTTGCCAGGCTGTAGTGCAGTGGTGTGATCTTGGCCCACTGCATCCTCCACCTCCCTGGTTCAAGCGATTCTCCTGCCTCAGCCTCCCAAGTAGCTGGGATTACAGGCACGTACCACCACGCCTGGCTAATTTGTGTAGTTTTGGTAGAGATGGGGTTTCACCATGTTGGCCAGGATGGTCTCGATCTCCTGACCTTATGATCCACCCGCCTCAGCCTCCCAAAGTGCTGGGATTACAGGCGTGAGCCACCGTGCCTGGCTGGAGATTTGTTTTTAATATAATAGATTAAAACTTTAATTTATGCAGTTTGTAAGTTAGATTTTGAGGTTTGTTGGCTTTTCCTTAAAAAGGGAATTCTGTAATTTTTTTCTTATATCTTTTTATGTTTTTTATTGCATTGTTCTTTTGTTCAGTTATTCAAACAATACATTTGAAATAGCGCTGAGATTACAGAAGCAGGCAGAAAAATGGTAACAGGGCTTTTGAACATTCATTGCTTCATTTTTCCTAATGGAGAAATCAGGTTGGGAAGTAAGCTTTTCTACCAACGAACTTTGGCTACATATATTTATCAGATTTACTAGATAACTGCCAATATATGAGGTTGGCCCGTGACTCAAAAGTTTTTTTGATAATGGATACCCCTGGTAGAAATAATTTTGGTAACTTGCTGTATTTTTTTAGAGGGGTCAGTAATACTTTTAATCATTTTTTTGTTGTTTTGCAGCTTTAACTGCCTATACTTACCTGACCATTTTTGATCTTTTTAGGTAAGTTTTTAGGAAATCTTAATGTTTTGGAGCTAATAAGGAACTTGGTAGAAATGTGGTATAGCCATACAATTCAGCAATAAAAACAGCAACTACTGATATCTTACAAGAAAACAATAAAAACATTATGCTTTGAAGACAGTCATAAAGGACCACATATTTTATGATTTCATTTATATGAAATGTCCAAAACAGGCAAATCTATGGAGAGAAAAAGTAGATTATGAAGAAGTTTTCTTTGCTTAAAGGAAAGTAATCTACTAAATAAGTAAAATTATCAACATAGAACAAACACACAAACAACAATAATTAGAGACATAACAGTAATTAGAGAGCAGGTGGGGCGGCTCATGCCTGCAATTCCAGCACTTTGGGAGGCCGAGGCGGGTGGATCACTTGAGGTCAGGAGTTTACGACCAGCCTGGCCAACATGGTGAAACCCCGTCTCTACTAAAAATACAAATAGCCAGGCATGGTGGTGTATGCCTGTAGTCCCAGCTACTTGGGAGGGTGAGGCATAAGACTTGCTTGGACCCAGGAGGCGGAGGTTGCAGTGAGCCGAGATTGTGCCACCACACTCCAGCCTGGGCAACGAGCGAAACTCAGTCTCAAAAAACAAAATATTTATAAATTTGATTATATTAAAGTTAAAAACTCTAGGTAGCAAATGTCACCATAAACAGAGAATAACCTGAGAAGATATTTGTAATTCATACCTCAGAGGGCTAATTTTGCTAACATTTGAAGGGCCCTACAATTTAAGACAAAGACCAAGAAAAAGAAAAGGAAGAAAAAAATTATAATTCATACAGAGAGTTTACAGAAAAGGAAATATAAATGACACTTATGAAAAGTTGCTTATCTTCACTAACAGTAAGAGAAATGCAAATTAAAATTACTCTGAGATGCTGTTTTGCCTGTCACGTTGGGAAAGCTTAAGAAATTTGAGTATACCTGTGTCGCTGAGTGTATTAGGGAAACGTGCTCTTTTGTTTTTTTAAAAATGGCTTTATTTGGCCAGGCTTAGTGGCTCACGCCTGTAATCCCAGCACTTTGGGAAGCTGAGGAGGGTGGATCACAAAGTCAGGAGTTCGAGACCAGCCTGGCCAATATGGTGAAACCCCGTCTCTACTAAAAATAACAAAAATTAGCCAGGCATGGTGGTGGGCATCTGTAGTCCCAGCTACTCGGGAGGCTGAGGCAGGACAATTGCTTGAACCTGGGAGGCAGAGGTTGCAGTGAGCTGAGATCGCAGCACTGCACTCCAGCCTGGGCGACAGAGTGAGATTCCATCTCAAAAAAAAAAAAGGCTTTATTGAGATACTATAATTCATATGCCTTAAAATGACTTTTAGTCTCTTCATACATAGAGTTGTGCATTCATCACCATAATTAACTTTACAATATTTTCTTTCTTTTTTTTTTCTTTGAGACGGAATCTTACTCTGTCACCCAGGCTGGAGAGCAGTGGCATGATCTCAGCTCACTGCAACCTTCGCCTCCCAGTTTCAAGCTATTCTCTTGCCTCAGCCTCCCAAGTAGCTGGGAATACAGACATGCACCACCACGCCTGGCAAATTTTTGTACTTTTAGTGGAGACGGGGTGTCGCCATGTTGGCCAGGCTGGTCTCGAACTCCTGACCTCAAGTGATCTGCCCACCTTGGCCTCCCAAAGTGTTGGGATTACAGGTGTGAGCCACCACGCCTGACCTACAATATTTTCCTTGTCTCAAAAAGAGACCACTCGCCTTAGCTATTACTCTCCAGTCATTCCGTTCTCCCACTCATTCCATTCTCTTCTCCAGCCCTAGGCAACCACTGATCAGTTTTTTCTCGCGATAGATTTACCTACTCTGGACATGTCATATAAGTGGAATCATACAATATACAGTCCTTTATGACTGTCTTCTTAGCACAATGCTTTTCTGTTTTGTTGTAGCATATATCAATAGTTACTCTTTCTTTTTTTTTTGAGTTAGGGTCTTACTCTGTCACCTAGGCTGGAGTGCAGTGGCGTGATCTTGGCTCAAGTGATTCTTTTGCCTCAGCCTCCCAAGTAGCTGGGATTACAGGCATGTACCACCAGGCACGGCTAATTTTTTGTATTTTTATTAGAGACGGGGTTTCACCATTTTGGCTGGGCTGGTCTCAAACTCCTGACCTCAAGTGGTCCACCCACCTCGGCCTACCAAAGTGCTGGGATAACAGGCGTGAGCTACCGTGCCTGAGCAATAGGTATGTTTTCTTCTAAGAGTTTTATAGTTTTTGCTCTTACAATTAGGTCTTTGATTTTTTTTGTTGTTGTTTTTGTTTTTTTTAGATGGAGTCTCACTCTGTCACCCCGGGTGGAATGCATTGGCATGATCTTGGCTCACTGCAGCCTCAGCCTCCCAAAGTGCTGGGATTACAGGCATGAGCCACCATGCCCAATTAGTTTTTGTATTTTTAGTAGAGACAGGGTTTTCCCATATTGAACAGGCTGGTCTCGAACTCCCAAACTCAAGTCATCTGCCTGCCTCCGCCTCCCAAAGTGCTAAGATTATGGGCGTGAGCCACTGTGCCCTTTGATCCATTTTGAGTTAATTTTTTTTTTTTTTTTTTTTTGAGATGGAGTCTCGCTCTGTCGCCCAGGCTGGAGTGCAGTGGCGCGATCTTGGCTCACTGCAATCTCCGCCTCCCAGGTTCATGCCATTCTCCTGCCTCAGCCTCCTGAGTAGCTGGGACTACAGGCACCCGCCACCACGCTTGGCTAATTTTTGGTATTTTTAGTAGAGACAGGGTTTCACCGTGTTAGCCAGGATGGTCTCAATCTCCTGACCTTGTGATCCGCCCGCCTCGGCTTCCCAAAGTGCTGGGATTACAGACGTGAGCCACCGCACCCGGCCAAGTTATTTTTTTTTAATGGTGTGAGATTGGGGGTTCAGATTCATTCTTTTGCATGTGGATAACCAGTTGTCCTATCATCATTTGTTGAAAAGACTACTTTCCCCATTGAATTGCCTTGGTACCCTTGTCAAAAACCAGTTCACGGGCCAAGTGTGGTGGCTGATGCCTGTAATCCCAGCACTTTGGGAGGCCAAGGCAGGTGGACCACCTGAGGTCAAGAGTTTGAGACCAGCCTGACTAATATGACAAAACTCCATCTCTACTAAAATACAAAAATGAGCCGGGCATGGTGCCATACACCTGTAGTCCCAGCTACTCAGGAGGCTGAGGCAGGAGAATCGCTTGAACCTGGTGGGACAGAGATTGCAGTAAGTGAGCCGGAATCGCACCATTGCACTCCAGCCTGGACAACAGAGTGAGACTCCATCTCAAAAAACAAAACAACAACAACAAACACCAGTTCACTGTAACTGTGAATGTTTATTTTTGGATTCTCAGGTCTGTCCCATTGATCTGTATGTCTGTCCTTTATGCCAGTACCATCAGTCTTGATTACTGCAGCTCTGTAGTAAGTTTTGAAATTGGAAAGTGTGGATATTCCAGCTTTGTTCTTTTTCAAGATTGTTTTGGCTAAACAGGCATTCTTTTTTCTCAGGCTGGAGTGCAGTGGGTTGACCTCGGCTCACTGCAGCCTCAGCCTTTACCGCCTGAGCTCAAATGATCCAGCTCAGCCTCCTGAGTGAGTGGTACCACAGGCTTGTGCCACCACACCTGCCTAATTTTTTGATATTTTGTAGAAATGAGGTCTTCTTATGTTGCCCAGGCAAGTCACAAATTTCTGGGCTCAAGTGATCCTCCTGCCTTTCCCTCCCAAAGCGTTGGGATTACAAGCATGAACTACCTGTCCTGGCTGGAAACAGGCACTTTTATACATTGCTGGTGGGAATATAAATTGGTGCAGCATCTCGAGGGCAATTTGGCAATATCAATTAAATTTATAAATGCCCATAACCTTAAACGTAGCAGTTCCTTTTCTAGTAATTTATGCTGCAGATATATTCCTGTGGTTAAAAATGAGTTGCATATGAGATTATTCAGTACAAAAGATTGGAAACAATCAGTATATGAATGATGAAATAATGGGGCATGTATACCCCATATTTTGGTATGTATATATCATAGAATTCTCAAACTTGACCATACAGCAGAATTACTTGGAAGGTCTTGTTAAAATACATATTGCTTCATTTCCAGAGTTACTGATTCAGGAGGCCTAGGGTAGGACCCAAGAATTTGCATTTCTAGCAACAGATGAAACCGATCCTGCTGGGTATAGGGAACCCACTTATCTGTGTAATTAAATATTATGTAGCCTTAGACAATAAAATCAAAGCATTTTATGGTTTTGAGGTCCTAATGAGGGGAAAAAGCAAGATACACAACAGTGTATATAGTATGCTGCAATTTGTATTAAAAAGGGGGAAAGAATAAGAATACGTACATGTATACACATCCACACACTACACTCATTCATTTGCTTGTATTTGCGTAAATATACATAGGAAAGATAAACAAACTGATAATAATAGGTGTCTTTGAAGAGGAAGACTCTGGCAGGGAGACAAGTTTAAAATCTTCCCACTATATATCTGTTGTAAATTTTGAATTTTATTTATATAAATAAAACGCCAATTTAAAAATAAATAAAAAGCAGTTTAAATATGTTACCGCCAAGAGTGGTGTCTCATGCCTGTAATCCTAGTGCTTTGGGAGGCTGAGGCAGGAGGACATTTGAGCCCAGGAGTTTGAGGCTGCAGAGAGCTATGATCTTAGCACTGTACTCCAGCCTCAGTGACAGAGAGATACCCTATAGACCAGGCACAGTGGCTCATGCCTGTAATCCCAGCACTTTGAGAAGCCAAGGTGAAAGGACTGCTTGAGCCCAGGAGTTCAAGACCAGCCTGGGCAATACAGTGAAACCTCTTCTCTACAAAAAATTTTAAAAATTAGCCAAGTTTGGTGGTACACACCTGTAATCCCAGCTACTCACTGAATAGTAGGCAGTAGGATCACTTGAGCCCAAAAGGTCAAGGCTGCAGTGAGCTATGATTGCACCACTGTAATCCAGTCTTGGGTCTTGGTGACACACTGATACCCTGTCTCAAAAAAAAAAAAAAAGGATTTTATTTATTTATTTTTGAGACAGGGCCTCATCCTGTCACCCAAGCTAGAGTACAGTGGCACGATCTTGGCTCACTGCATGCAGCCTCCACCTCCCGGTCTCAAGCGATTCTCCTGTCTTAGCCGCCCGAGTAGCTGGGATTACAGGCACCCACCACCATGCCCGGCTAATTTTTGTATTTTTAGTGGAGATGGGGTTTCACCATGTTGGCCAGGCTGGTCTTGAACTCCTGACCTCAGGTGGACCTCCCGCCTCAGCCTGCCAAAGTGCTGGGATTACAGGCGTGAACCACCGCGCTCAGCCCATGCATGTACTTTAAAAAGTTACTTTGGGGAATAGTTACTAATGTTACCAACCATATTTGATAACAAACTAACGGTAATAAAAATAGTCAAATTTTAAAACTAAAGTAATAATGTTTCCCTTATGTCTTAAGGTTCATAAGGAAAATCTTTTCATTTAATTTGAGGAAGTTTCTTTCTTTAGAGGCTCACAATCTGCCATATGAGTTAGCTATCGCTACATAACGTTTCAGATGAAAGGTGTGATTTAGATTCATTTAGAGCTTCACTAATATCCAAACACAGAAGAAAGTGGTTATCTGATTTTAGA
This sequence comes from Homo sapiens, assembly GCF_000001405.40. Taxonomy (NCBI): domain Eukaryota; kingdom Metazoa; phylum Chordata; class Mammalia; order Primates; family Hominidae; genus Homo; species Homo sapiens. The sequence goes on from NC_000002.12 coordinate 32,181,042, forward strand.
ATTTTAAGTGTTAATAAATGCTACTGTTTTACAAAGAGGTGTAGAAATATATTTTATTGGAGAACATTAATACCAAAGTGGTGTTACTAAACTATGGAAATTAAAATGATTTACACATATAAATAAAATCAAACATATTGAATGATTTGTTAATAAATGGGTACTGATTTTTTAGATTTATGTAGTAATGGGAAGTAAATTCGATCAGTGTACCATATTTCATCAAATATTAGATGCCAACAGTTTTAAGACAAATACTTATTTTATGTGTCCCCAAGAAAAATGCTGCTAATTCAACTGTGATGTACTGTAAGTTGTAAGACTAACCCTGATTTGAGGATTATTAAGATGTGAAAAAACATGTACTTCTTAAAATTGATGAATTATAGAAAAATTTTCAGAGATTTTTATCCATTTTTAAGGGTAAAATTTTCAAAAGTTAATATTTAGACACTGAATTTTTCAGATTTCTTATTATTAACAAATCTTATCTATAGAGTATTATTTACAAAGAAAAATTTTACAATTAATAATTGAAGCTTTGGCCGGGCGAGGTGGCTCACGCCTGTAATCCCAGCACTTTGGGAGTCCGAGGCTGGCAGATTCCCTGAGCTCAGGAGTTCGAAACCACCCTGGGCAACATGGTAAAAACCCATCTCTACTAAAATACCAAAAAATGAGGTGGGCATGGTGGCGCACTTTTGTAATCCCAGCTGCTTGGAAAGCTGAGGTGGGAGAATCGCTTGAGCCTGGGAGGTGGAGGTTGCAGTGAGCCAGGATTGTGCCACTGCACTCCAACCTGGGCGACAGAGTGAGACTCCGTCTCAAAAAAAAAACCATAAATAATAAATTAATGATTGAAGCTTCAATTGTATATTTCGTTTTTCTTTTCTTTTTTTTTTTTTTTTTTTGAGACAGGGTATTACTCTGTCACCCAGGCTGAGTACAGTGACATAGTCATGGCTCACTGCAGCTGCAATCTCCTGGGCTTAGGCGATCCTCCTACCCTAGCCTCTGGGGTAGCTGGGACTACAGGTGTTCACCACCACACCTGGCTAATTTTTGTGTATTTTTGTGGTGATGGGGTCTCGACATGTTGCCTAGGCTGGTCTTGTACTCTTGGGCTCTCAAGTGATCCACCTGCCCTGACCTCCCAAAGTGCTAGGTTTACAGGCATGAGCCACCACGCCCAGCCTAATTGTATATTTCTGACTGCAGAAACTCATTTGGCTGCCTTTATCCGATGCAATTTCAAAAATCATTCATCCATTCAAAACCAACCTAGATTATTTGCTGAACTTCAATGTAAATACCATATTCTTGCTGCTTACATGAATTGGAAGTGAGATTAGCACACTATATGAACCCTGTCATGATGAGTGTGAAGTACTCTCAAGGAGTTAGCCAGGGCTCTTTTGATTGCAGCCATCAGACTTCCACTGGAGCTCTATTGGGGGAGCAAAGGTGTAGGATACTTAATTCTACAGATTCAGGGGTGTTAATGGAATCTGAGGGCAGAGGTTTAACTGGGCCCCATTGTAAGAATCAAACTTCTCTTTATCTCTCATCTCTGTTCCCTGTACATGGACACCGTTGAGCTATTTTCTTCCTGTAGGTCAGCGTTCCCTACTCGCAAATCCAGGGATAGAAATACAAATACTACTCCAAATTTTCAAATGTGCATTTCCATCATTCAGGAAAGCAGCCAAATTAAGCCTGGAATGCCTTGGTTGCAGTTCCAAATCCTACTTCCAAATCCAGAGCAGCATTTTGACGCAGCTTAGGTTACATGTGTCAGGTGCCTATCTGTGGATGAGTCAGCTGTGGCCAGGGAGTAGGGTCATGTTAAGAACATACCAGTTCTCAGCCAGGCACGGTGCCTCACACCTGTAATCCCAGCCCTTTGGGAGGCCGAGGTGGGTGGATCACAAGGTCAGGAGTTCCTGACCAGCCTGGCCAACGTGGTGAAAGCCCATCTCTACTAAAAATACAAAAATTAGCCGGGCATGGTGGTGCATGCCTGTAATCCCAGCTACTCAGGAGGCTGAGGCAGGAGAATCACTTGAACCTGGGAGGCGGAGGTTGCAGTGAGCCGAGATCGCGCCATTGCACTCCAGCCTGGGCGATAGAGTGAGACTCCATCTAAAAAAAGAACATATATCAGTTCCTGCTGTAATATAGATGGAGAAAAAAATGAAGGATAGTTAATAACTGAGAATTGAGGAATTGTGAGCTAGGGAGACAGACTCTTGTCTCCCTGCTTCATGGAGCCTTTCATATTTCCATTTAAGGATTACAAAATACTTTGATGTCTTCAAGATCCATGAGATAGGAGTATATTATAAGGATGGCTTTTCGGCCAGGCGCGGTGGCTCACGCCTGTAATCCCAGCACTTTGGGGTGGCCAAGGCAGGTGGATCACTTGAGACCAGGAGTTCAAGACCAGCCTGGCCAACATGACGAAACCTCGTCTCTACTAAAAAAAAATATATAAAAATTAGCCGGGCATGGTGGTGCATGCCTGTAATTACAGCTACTTGGGAGGCTGAGGCAGGACAATCACTTGAACCTGGAAGGAAGAGGTTTCAGTGAGCCGAGATGGCACTACTGCACTCCAGCCTGGGCAACAGAGCGAGACTCTGTCTCAAAAAAAAAAAAAAAAAGCATGCCTTTTATTAATCAGGTAACTAACATATTTAACTGGGTCTAACGCAGATAGTTGTTACCTCAATTTCATATTGTAGTAACTTGTTTTACAGTGAATCTACTATAGTTGGAAAATGAACATAATTTTATCTCACTCAAAATGTTGTCAAGGTATTATTAATATTTATGTTAACTTTTAACAAAGATGAAGCGTATCAAAGTTAAAATTGATCATATGTGTCATTTTTTAGCATTTTCAGTTACAGAAACCATTTAGGGTGAATAACATTGTGTAGTGGAAGTATGAATTTAGGTTCTACTTTACTGACTTGATGTATTATAACTTTATTCTGTTCCTTCACATGTTAAAATCTTCCAAGTATACCACATGTTCAGATGCTCACTGTGATTAGATGGTAAACTACTAGAATTAATTATCTTAATAAATTATTAGAATAATTTATTATTAATTTAGTCTGTGCAAACACAGATAACTTTCAACCACTTAGGAATTCTGAAAACTTAATTTATCTTCACATGTTCTCTTCTAGTTCTAATACTAAATTTATTTTTCTTTTTACTTAGTTTAATGACATGTTTAATAAGTTACTGGGTAACATTGAGGAAACCTAGCCCTGTCTATTCATTTGGGTAAGTTCAAATTATTTTATTTTCTGCTAACTTATGACTACTAAAATATTATTTATAGTAGACGATAAAGAGCTAGCTAGAGTATTTCTGGAAAATAAATGCTGCGTACTTAGTGAAATGATGATCAGATAGTGAAAATAGATAGGCTGGGCACAGTGGCTCACGCCTGTAATCCCAGCACTTTGGGAGGCTGAGGCAGGCAGAGCACCTTAGGTCAGGAGTTTGAGACCAGCCTGGCCAACATGGCAGACCCCTATCTCTACTAAAAATACAAAAATTAGCCAGGCGTGGTGGCATGCACCTGTAATTCCAGCTACTTGAGAGGCTGAGACAGGAGAATCGCTGGAACCCAGGAGACGGAGGTTGCAGTGAGCCGAGATCATGCCATTGCACTCCAGCCTGGGCAACAGAGCAAGACTCCTTCTCAAAAGAAAATAGAAAAGCATCTTCCAAGAAACATAAATATTTAAGGTATAAATCATATTAAAATAAAATGTTCACATTAAGTTTTTTATATTTTATAAAGCAAATATTTTAAAAAGTTCACGTTAAGTTCTTTAATATTTTGGGGATTTATTTTAGCAAGAGCAAGTACAAAGGATTTTCATGTTAGTGTATCTTCTAGATGTTAAATAAATGTGATATAGTTTAATAATAGGCAGTGGTAAAGATGGATTTTCATCTGAAACTGGATTTGTGATAGCAATAGATCAACAAATAATTTGAGATTTGTTTCCATAATTACTGAGGCCAGGTGTGGTGGCTCATGCCTGTAACCCTAGCACTTTGGTAGGTTGAGGCAGGAGGATTGCTTGAGTTAGAAGCCAGCCTGGGCAACATAGTGAGATCTGTCGCTGCAAAAAATGTTTTTAATTAGCTGCACATGGTGGTGTACACCTGTGGTCCCAGCTGCTTGGGAAGCTGAGGTGGGAGGATTGCTTAAGCCAGGAGTTTGAGGCTGCAGTGAGCTATAATTGCATCACTGCATTACAGATGGCAAGAGTAAGACCCTGTCTCAAAAAAAAAAAAAAATTTACTGAAAGTTGAAAGGAAATAATCTTTTATATTAAAGGTTTAAAAATGTATTTAAACATGAGTTCCTTTTAGATGCTAGGAAACAACTTGAAAGAATTTTACTTTATTAATTTTTTTTTACCTGAAGAGGCATATCGACCAAGGAATTTCACTTTAGTAAAGAAACTTTTGGACCAAACTTAGTCTTCTTTTCCACCATACCATTCATTGGGACTATATTCTTTTGAACAAAATTAGGTTTTATTTACTTAAACAATGGGAAGAAGTAAACAAAAATTTTAATGCAAAATAAGGATTTTCATAAATCAATCATAAATCAAAATGAATTTTTAAAAAATATTATTTTTAATTTTATTTATTTTTTGAGACGGATTCTCACTCTGTCACCCAGGCTGGAGTGCAGTGGCATGATCTGGGCTCACTGCAGGCTCTGCCTTCCGGGTTCCAGCGATTCTTCTGCCTCAGCCTCCCGAGTACCTGGGATTACAGGTGTGTGCCACCACGCCTGGCTCAGTTTTTTTTTTTTTTTGTATTTTTAGTAGAGATGGGGTTTCACCATGTTGGCCAGGCTGGTCTTGAACTCCTGACCTCAAATGATCCACCTATCTCTGCCTCCCAAAGTGCTGGGATTACAGGTGTGATCCACCACACCCAGACTTTTTTTCTTTTGTGTGTGTGTGTGTGACAGTTTTGCTGTGTCACCCAGGCTGAAGTGAAGTGGTGTGATCTTGGCTCATTGCAACCTCCACCTACCAGATTCGATCAATTCTTATGCCTCAACCTCCAGGGTATCTGGGATTACAGGTGTGCACCACCACACCCAGTTAATTTTTATAGTTTTAGTAGAGATGGAGTGTCGCCATGTTGGTCAACCTGGTGTCCAGCTCCTGGCCTCAAAGTGCCAGGCCCAGCCTGTGTCACTGAAACTTGAGAGAGTTGCATTATCACTATGATAATCAGTTGTAAGGTATAGATATATCCATATAAGGAAATCTGCCACTGCAAGTGACAGAAATCTAACTTAGTTTGGGGCCTGGTGCGGTGGCTTACGCCTATAATCCCGGGACTTCGGGAGGCCAAGGTGGGTGGATCACCTGAGGTCAGGAGTTTGAGACCAGGCTGGCCAACATGGCAAAACCCCATCTCTACTAAAAACACACACACAAAAATTAGCTGGGCATGGTGGCAGGCACCTGTAATCCCAGCTACTTGGGAGGCTGAGGCAGGAGAATCACTTGAACCTGGGAGGCAGAGGTTGCAGTGAGTCGAGATTGTGCCACTGCACACCAGCCTGGGTGACAGAGCGAGACTCTGTCTCAAAAAAAAAAAAATTAGTTTGGGGAGTCAGATGCAGTGGCTCATGCCTGTAATCCCAGCATTTTGGGAGGCCCAGGTGGTCGATCACTTGAGTTTAGGAGTTTGAGACCATCCTGAGCAAAGAGCGAGACCCCGTCTCTACAAAAAAATACAAAAATATGCTGGGTGTGGTGGGGCGTGCCTGCATTCCCAGCTACTCATGAGACTGAATTGGGAAAATGGCTTGAACCTGGGAGGCAGAGGTTTCAGTGAGTGAGATGGTGCCACTGCACTCCTGCCTGGGAGACAGAGCTAGACGCTGTCTCCAAAAAAAAAAAAAAAAAAAGAAAGAAAAAGAAAAATGAGTTCGGGGGAAAAAATGGGAGGACTTTTACAATTTATGTAACCAAACTACTGTGGGAAGACAGTAACTGGCGCAGGCACTAGACCACTGAGGACATTGTCATTTTTTTGCCTCCCAGGCCTGCTTTTCTCTGCATGTCCTGTTCAGTCTCTCAGACCACTTTTCTCCACCAATCCGAAATGATGCTCCTATCAAGACCTTAATTCACACCTTCTCACCTTCATCCGAGAGAGGAAATAATAAATTACTACTGTTAAAATAATATTTATGGTAGGCAATAAAGAGCTAGCTAGAGTATTTCTGGAAAATAAATGCTGCCTAGTTCAGAAAATCATGAGAAAGAACTGTTGCTTGGGCCAGCTTGGAACAGGCATCAGTCTTTATAGATCAGTTACTGTGGATAGAAGACAAGGTCGTGTAAGGACATGACAGCTCCCATTTTGGCTCACTTGCTTAGAGTGAACAGGAAAGAAAGGAGCAGCTAAGCAATAAAGTTAAACACTCAAATATATTTGCAATCGATCACATAGCTGAAGTATCACATATATCTGGAGACTTCAAAATCCAGTTCTCTAGGCCTGAGAACTATCTAGAATTTCAGACTACCTTCTTGACAGCTTCACACGGATGTCTAATTGGTGTCTTAAACTTAGGAAAAAATTCTTGGTTTCTTCCTCAAAAACCTATTCCTTTGTAGTTTTCCCCGTCTCAGTAAATACCATCAGCACTCTGTTGCTCAAACAAAAAATTCTGGGAATTTCTGTTGATTACTGTCTCTCATCACCCACATTTAATCTATTAGCAGATTAATTATGTCAAGGTAACCTACAAACACATCCAGAATTACCCCCCAATCCCATTTCTGTCTCCACTACTGCCAGCCCAGACCAAGCTACTTTCATTTACAGCCAGTGTTTTTCTTTTTAAACCTGTATCATATTATCCCTCTCCCCTTAAAACCATCTAGTTGTTTCCCGTAATACTTAGAATAAAATCCTAACTCCTTTTTCTAATTTACAAAGCCCTTATATGATCAGGACCCTGCCTACTTTTCTTCAACTTAATCTTCTCATGGCCTCTATAGGATACTGACTTTCTTTTTGTTGTTTGAACGCTACTAACTCATTCCCATTTTAGGTCCTTTATATAAGATCTGCCTGATATGCTCTTCACCTGATCTTTGCAAGGCTGGCTTCATCGTGTTACTCATATCTTAATATCACTAAATGCTAATTTCCATTAAGTGACTGAATGGCCCAATCAAAAATAGTCATCTGGTTAATCTCTTGTCACATCAGACTACTATAATTCTCTGTACAGAACTTACCAAACAAGGTATTTGTTTTTCTGTCCCTACCCTTTAAAAGGTAAATTTCAGAGCTGGGTGTGGTGGCTTATGCCTATAATCCCAGCGCTTTGGGAGGCCGAGGTGGGAGGATCACCTGAGGTCAGGAGTTTGAGACCAGCCTAACCAACATGGTGAAACCTCATCTCTACTAAAAATACAAAAATTCGCCAGGTGTGGTGGTGCGAGCCTGTCGTCCCACCTACTCATGAGATCGAGGCAGGAGAATCACTTGAGACCGGGAGGCGGAGACTGCAGTGAGCCAAGATTGTGCCACTGTACTCCATCCTCCGTCTCAAAAAATAAAAAATAAAAAGCAAATTTCATAGAAGTAGGGACCCTGTCTTGTTTTCTGTAATATCTTTGTGCAATTTGATGAATTTTAAGAAATGAATACATTTGTATAGTTACTATCTGGATCATGATATAGAACATTACAAGTCCCCCAAAACCTCCCTTCGTGTCCATTCAGACCCTACCAGAAGTAACTGGTAATCTGACCTCTAACATTGCATATTAGTTTTGCCTGTTTCTGAAAATCCTGTAGATGGAATATAGTATGTACTATCTTGTTCATTCTTGTTCATTGCTCTCATATTCCATTATATGAATATGTCACAAATTGCTTAATTGTTAAGGACATTTAGATGACTTTCACTTTTTAGCTATTATAAATAAAACTACTTCTGAACATTCTTGTATATATCTTTTAGTGCACATGTGTACCCATTTATGTTGGGTATGTGTATCTTTGAGTGGAATTAGTTTGGATTTGCATGTTCATTATTAAAAGATAAGATAATACCAAACCGTTTTCCAGAGCAGTTTTACCAATTTATACTCCCACTGGTAGTGTTTGAGAGTTGCATTTGCTTCCTGTCCTTGACAACAGTTGATACTGTCTTTTTTTTTTTTTTTTTTTCTTTTTTTTGAGGCAGCATCTCGCTTGGTCGCCCAGGCTGGAGTGCAGTGGTGCGACCTTGGCTCACTGCAACCTCCACCTCCCGGATTTAAGCGATTCTTGTGCCTCAGCCTCCTGAGTAGCTGGGACTACAGGCATGCACCAACATGCCTAATTTTTTTTATTTTTTTATTTTTAGTAGAAATGGGGTTCCACCATGTTGGCCAGGCTGGTCTTGAACTCCTGACCTCAAGTAATCCACCCACCTTGGCCTCCCAAAGTGCTGGGATTATAAGCATGAGCCACCGCACCCGGCCTTTTTTTTTTTTTTTTTTTTTTTTTTTTTTGAGGCAGAATCTAACTCTGTAGCCCATGTTGGAGTACAGTGGCATGATCATAGCTCATTGCAGCCTTCAACACCTGGGCTCAAGTGGCTCTCCTGCCTCAGCCTCCTGAGTTGCTAGGACTACAGGCACATCCCACCATGCCTGGCTAATTTTTAAAATATTTTTGGAGTCAGGGGTCTCACCATATTGCCCAGGCTGGTTTGAACTGGTTTCAAGCGATCCTCCCACACCCCGAGTAGCTGAAATTACAGGTGTGGAGCCACCGTGCCCAGCTGTTATTGTCTTTTTTCATAAAGGCCATTCTATGGTATGCAGTGGTATTTCATTGTGGTTTTAAGTTATTTTCCTTATGACTAATTGAGCACCTTTGCCTATGTTGATTAACCATTCAGATCACCTCTTTTTTAAAATGCTTGTAAAAATCTTTTAACCATTTCCTGTTTTTCTGTATTAATCTGTAACAGTTCTTTATATATAAGTATCTTCTCCTTCTTAGTTGCCCTTCTTTCTCTTAATGGTATCTTCTGATGAATAAAAGTTTTAAATTTTAGGCCGGGCGCGGTGGCTCACGCATGTAATCCTAGCACTTTGGGAGGGTGAGGTGGGCAGATCATTTGAGGTCAGGAGTTGGAAACCAGCCTGACCAACATGGTGAAACCCCATCTCTACTAAAAATACTAAAATTAGCCACACATGGTGGTGGGTGCCTGTAATCCCAGCTACTTGGGAGGCTGAGGCAGGAGAATCACTTGAGCCCAGGAAGCAGAGGTTGCAGTGAGCCAATATCGTGTCATTGCTCTCCAGCCTGGGCGACAGAGTGAGACTCCGTCTCAAAAAAAAAAAAAAAAGTTTTAAATTAAATTTATTTTTTTGGGTTGGTCCTTTTGTGTACTTGTTAAGAAATCTTGGCATACCCCCAGGTCAGAAAGACACTTTGTTCTGTTATCACCTAGAAGCCTTACTGTTTGATTTTTCATATTTAATCCTACAATCCAGTTGGAATAGATTTTTTTGGTATGGTGTGAAGCAGGAGTAAAGGCATATTCTGGACTGCAGTGGCGCAATTCGGCTCACTTCAACCTCCATCTCCCAGGTTCAAGCAATTCTCGTGCCTCAGCCTCCCAGGCAGCTGGGATTACAGGCCCGCACCACCACGCCCAGCTAATTTTTTGTATTTTTAGTAGAGACTGGGTTTCGCCATGTTAGCCAGGCTGGTCTTGAACTGGCCTCAAGTGATGTGCCTGCCTCGGCCTCACAAAGTGCTGGGATTGCATGTGTGAGTCACCGCGCCTGGCTCTTTACTGCTTTTATGTGCCACATTTTTCACAAATCAGTGGACTATATATGTGTAGGTCTGTTTCTAGATTCTCTTTTCTGTACAATTTGGTGTATTTGTACTTGGATTAGTACTGCACTATGTCAATTATTGCAGCTTTGAAATACCTATTGATATCTGGTAGTATAAATCTTCCAGCTTCGTTCTTCTTCAAGGTTATCTTTGCCTTCCTTCACATTTTGCAGTTCCATATGCATTTTAATATCAGCTTCTCACCTTCCACAAATAACATTGGTGCATTTGCATACTGTTTTTTCCTGTTCTTTTTTATTTTTTCAGTAGCTGGAAAACAACACTTAATTTGTATTCTATCATAACCTACTTTTTTCACTCACCTTTTTCCATGTCAATAAATACTTTTTTTGTTTAACAATATATAATGTTCTATTGTTGATTCCAGCATTTTTCCTTTACAAATAACAATGTGATGTACAGTCTTAATTTTTTTGTCTTTTCTGTGCCTCCGTGATTATTTTCTTGAAAAATTTTAAGCATTTATACTTACCATAAATATTGAATACCATTAGACCATGTGTTGCAGGAAAAACTAAAACAACAGTTCCTGGCCTCTGGCTTATAGTCTAGGGATTATAAAATATATTCATAATTCACTGTAATTATGTATAGAAATGAGAGGCAGTATAATAAGTGGTTAAAATCTGAATTCTAGTGTCAGAGTGTTTGAGTTTGAAAACCTTCTACTTGCTATCTATATGACTCTAAACAGTTACTTTTCTTCTTCGTGTCCTAAACTTCTTATCTGTTTGGGAAAAAAAAATGAGCCAAGTGTGGTGGCACATGCCTGTAGTCCCATCTACTCGGGAGGCTGAGCAGCTGGGAGGATTACTTGAGCCTGGGAGTTCAGGGTCCAGCCTGGGCAACATAGTGAGACCCCCATCTCTTGAAAAAAAGAAAAAAGTGGATAAAGTAATTCTAATAAGGGGTTGGGAGGTTTAGATGAGGTAATATGTTAAGCACTCTGGTGTCTAACGCACAGTGGGTCAATTAAGTGTTATTATTATGATTGTGATTATTTCTAGAAAATAAGGACTATAATTGGGTCCTGGTAATTGTCTTTTTTTTTTTTTTAATCATTTTAAAGTTTTTCTGGAAAGAGAAAGCCTCTGACATGGGCTGAAGGTGCTCTCTCTTCTGAGTCCTAGGAATTGTACAAATAGGTACTCCTTGGAATCTGTGATTTTCATTGTTTATTATTATTCTAGAAACCCTAATCTGCTCTAACAGTGTTGGGCTCATAGTAGACAGCACATATGTATATTAAGTGAGCAAATAAATGAATGTAAATGTGTTCTAGAGAGACTGGTTTGTGAATTGAAAGAATTGTGATGATCTAATTAATGTTTTGGTTTCAGGTTTGAAAGATTAGAAGTCCTGGCTGTATTTGCCTCCACAGTCTTGGCACAGTTGGGAGCTCTCTTTATATTAAAAGAAAGGTACATTTGTATAGGATATTATTCTAAATCCCCCCATGACACCTTTGGGAACATGAAAGAAACCCGTCAGACACATTTGCTTTCAAGGGTATGAAAACTTAGATGAGCAGGGCTGGAGTTTTGATAGTACACTTTCTTTATGTTTCAGACTTTTTCTTCTGTTTCATTTTTTTTACTTCCTTCCTTAATGCTACTAAATTGAATCAGAAGTGGTTGTGAATGAAACAGAGATTCAGTCAGGCATGTTTGATGCTTATTACAAACCCATTGAAATAGGCTTGGCAGAGAAAGATAGACATTACATATTAAGGATAATTTGTGAAAAAAGAAAACAACTAAAAAGGATAATTTATGAGTCTCCTTGCCTCATCACTGCTAATAGTTAATAGTTATAATATTAAAAGATTTTGTGAACTTTAAGGTGGGTGAATGATATATTTAATAAAGCTTTTTAACTTTATAATTTATAGGACTTATTTAATATATTTTTATTTCTTATAGTGCAGAACGCTTTTTGGAACAGCCCGAGATACACACGTGAGATTTTATTTTCAATATATAATTTACTATTGATTCTTAATTATTAATTGATGTATTATTAAACAGTTGGCCAATGTCAGATTTCAGACTGTGGCAACATAACGTTTTTGCTGGTATTTCACAAACAAAATTCCCTAATACTAAGACTCCGTTTCTTTACTCTTAACAGTTCCCAAGTTCTAAATATTTTTATACTACACAGGAAGGCCTTTCTATCTTGGCTTCAGGCTTCTCATTATTTCCAGGCCTAGGAAACACTAACCCAGCTTCCCCTAGTCTTCTGTAATTTCAAATTTGACCTTCAAAATCTTTGCATAGCACCTGTAGAAAAGAGAATTGGACGAGGCTCAGGGATTCAGTGTAATCCCAGCACTTTGGGAGGCTAAGGCAGGAGGATCGCTTGAGTTCAGGAGTTCAAGACCAACCTGGACAACAGAGTGAGACCCTGTCTCCAAAAAAAAGAAACGTATATATGTTTCATATATATTGCAACTATGTGATTTTCATATATATATGAAAAGAGAATTGTATGTATCATATATATGAAAAAACAATTGTATTTCTCAACCACAGAGCTGCCAACTATATGGACCTTATCTATTCTGATCAGTTTAATTCCACAAAGTCTGACTTGTCCAGTATATCGTAAAACAAATACCATTGATATTTATACAGATTTATAACAGCGTTTACCTGTAGCAAGATACTGTTAATGCTAAAAGTCCTTACTTATCCTTTGTAAGATGGAGCAACAGTAGATGGGACATGGGTGATGGGGCTAGTAACTAAGTTCAGATTCTGTATCTGGAAACACCAAATCATTAAAGCAGACCACTTTACCTTCCCACCTCTTAGTCCCTCTACGTATTGAAATTACATACTGATAATACCAAGAACAAATTAAAGGTGAATGTTATCGTTGTTCTTTTTAGGGGAAGATTATTAGTTGGTACTTTTGTGGCTCTTTGTTTCAACCTGTTCACGATGCTTTCTATTCGGAATAAACCTTTTGCTTATGTCTCAGAAGGTATGTTTTTTATTTACTATTAATTTAAAAATCCAACTAATCTCTCATAAAAACAAGCCTTTTGTTTGTTTCGTTCACTCAGATCAATGAAGAAGTATATTCTGAAGACAAGAGAGAACTAGCCCAAATGTTCTCAAGTCTTTTTTAAGTGGAAAATTATAAAACAAAATCTCATTAGTTCAAGCTTTAAAATAACAAATTATTTTAAAACAGGCAGGAGTGACCTGTAAATTAAATCATGTGGTGATGAAAAATTACATTTACCAAATAATGTGAGATTCTAAATGTGTAATCTATCTAAGAAAAGTCTATTGTAAGCATTTTAGAAGTATCAGTATACTTAGAATTCTTAGTTGATATGCTAATTGAAAATAATTGTATTCTGTTAATAAAGTAAGTTCCCAGGAACTTCTCTTTGGCAATGGTGGATGGGCATATATGTTTGCAAGTAGCCAAACTTTATTTCTTTGGAAATATTCTTTTATTTTGAAGTATTTACAACTTCAGACTGATTTTTCACTTTTGCAGTCTAAATTATTTTCTTTTTTCAATAATTTCAGTGTTTTGGAATCCCACTAACCCACAAAAGAGTTAGCCACTAAGAGATGGAGAAGTGAGGTGAAAATAGAAGTGGGATGTGTGCACAGACCCACACTTTGAAGTATAGAGAAGCACAGATAGGTGTGGATCTTTTTAGATCTCACTCTAGGATAGTCAAGAGAAGAAAGTTTTCTGAAATGCCCATTCAAGTTTAAACAACTTCATGAATGTTATGAAGATAAATTGTGTTTGTATGAGTTAAAGAAGTACTGCATGAATTAGAAAATTAAATAATGATAATTAAGATCACTAGAATTTCTTGAAAAAAATTCATAATTTATAAAATACTATAACACTTACTCTAGAAATTTTTAAGATGGTGCAAAGATTTAGAAACACTGTTTCCCTGTAAAGATCAGGGAGATACAAGAAGGAAATAAGACTACTGATAATCTTATGACCCACAGATAATATGTTAACATTTCTATGTTATTCCTTCCACTTTTTTGTATGCACACGTACATATAATTTTATGTGCTTACTTAGAATTGTATATATTACAGTTTTATGCCTGGCTTTTTTTTTTTTTTTTTTGAAACGGAGTCTCACTCTCTTGCCCAGGCTGGAGTGCAGTGGCGCAATCTTGGCTCACTGCAACCTCTGCCTCCTTGGTTCAAGGGGTTACAGGAATGTGCCACCATGCCTGGCTGATTTTTGTATTTTTAGCAGAGACGGGGTTTCCCCATGTTGGCCAGGCTGGTCTCACTCCTGACCTCAGGTGATCTGTCCACCTTGGCCTCCCAAAGTGCCGGGATTACAGGTGTGAGCCACTGCGTCCGGCCATGTCTGGCTTTTTGATTAGCATTATGTCTTCAGTATTGCTTCTCATTAAATACTCTTTGAATGTAAATGATTTTTTAATGTTTGCATAATATTGTTATGAATATTTTAAAATATTTTATACATTTCTAACTTTTCCTTTTATAAATAACTCTATAATCAGCCTCTTTAGATCAACTTCGTCTGCATTTTTTATTCTTTCTGTAGGATAAATTCCCCGAGAAGGAATTATTTACTGGATTAAAAATACAGTATTTTTCAAAGGCTTTGTTGTATATTGCCAAATTTATTTCCAGAAAAGTTATCTAGTTTATATTTTTATTATATTATATTATATTTATTTATTTATTTATTTTTTAATAGAGACAAAGTCTACCTGTGTTACCCAGGCTGGTCTCAAACTCCTGGGCTCAAGCAGTCCTCTCACATCAGCCTCCCAAAGTGCTGGGACGACAGGCGTGAGCCACTGCTCCCAGCCTACTTTATATTTTCATTAGCTGGAAATGGAGGTTCCCAGAAACATCAAGATTTGTGACATTAGCTGGGCTTGGTAGCATGTGCCTCTAGTCCCAGCTACTCAGGAGGCTGAGGTGGTTGTATTGCTTGAGTTCAGGAGTTTGAGTTCAGCCTGGGAAACATAGCAAGACTCTGGCTTTAAAAAAAAATGAAGGCTGGGTCTGGTGGCTCACACCTGTAATCCCAGCAGTTTGGGAGACCAAGTCAGGCGGATCACAAGGTCAGCAGTTTGAGACCGGCCTGGCCAACATGGCAAAACCCTGTCTCTACTAAAAAATTATAAAAATTAGCCGGGCATGGTGGCAGGCGCCTGTGATCCCAGCTACTTGGGAGGCTGAGGCAGGAGAATCCCTTGAACCCGGTAGGCGGAGGTTGCAGTGAGCCGAGATCACGTCATTGCACTCCTGCCTGGGTGACAAAAGTGAAACTCCATCTCAAAACAAAAAAAAAAGAAAAAAGATTTGTGAAATTACTTGAAATTTGAGTGGGAAATAATATTAAGTACTTTCTATATGCCAAGCACTGCTAAATACTTTACATAGAATAACCTATTTAATTCTAGCCAGGTAGGTACCCAGGTTCTCACCTGGCTTTTTTGAGAGTTGAGGGAATTAATTTGTATGTAGTTTGAATATCCCTTATCTGAAATGCTTGGGGCCAGAAGTGTTTCACATTTTAGATTGTCTTAGATTTCGGAGTGTTTGCATTATATGTATGGGTTGAGCATCCCAAACCTGAAAATTTAAAATTCGAAACGCTCCTATGAGCATTTCCTTTGAGTATCATGTTGGTGCTCAAAGTTGTGGATTTTTGGTTTTCAGATTTGGGATCCTCAGCCTGTACCTATGGCCCGTTCTCAGCACACTAGTTAGGAAGCTCTGCTTAAAAGTATAAAGAACTGCTGGGCATGGTGGCTCACACCTGTAATCCCAGCACTTTGGGAGGCCGAGGCAGGTGGATCACCTGAGGTCAGGAGTTCAAGACCAGCCTGACCAACATGGTGAAACCCCGTCTCTACTAAAAATAAAAAATTAGCCAGGTGTGGTGGCACGTGCCTGTAATCCCAGCCACATGGGAGGCTGAGGCAGGAGAATTGCTTGAACGCGGGAGACAGAGGTTGCAGTGAGCCGAGATGGCACCACTGCACTCCAGCCTGGGCAGAAAGAGCAAAACTCCATCTCAAAAGAAAAAGTGTAAAGAACCTTTAAAACCTTAAATTAATAGTAACAATGACATAAATTCCTTCAGGTCAACTGTATATTGTATAATAGTTGAAACTGCTTTTGAATTAGTGGCATAAGGGCATAAAAGAGGAAACATTTATAGATTTGAGGAGTAGCATGTTCTTTTGTAATGTTATTCAGTCACTGCCAAATTTATTTTTTAAAATTAAAGAACTCAAATATTTCAGGTAGTGGTTTTTTTTTCTTCTATATAGATAATTTAAGTATTTTCTTCTTAAAGCTGCTAGTACGAGCTGGCTTCAAGAGCATGTTGCAGATCTTAGTCGAAGGTAAGATGTTATGGAGTTTCATGATATGCATAATTTAAAGGAATACACAAGAAATGCATCTATCATGGGAACTTAAATTATTCGTTGCTGAGGTTACTACGTGAATCACACAGGTCAGATTGTTATTCTCCCTTTACTTTTTAATTGATACAAAAGAGAACTTTATAAATGAAAGGGCTTTGTTCACAAATCCTCTTTGCTTTCTTTAAGAAGTACACTATGTGGTACCAAAATACAAGTTATCTTTTACAAGGTTGTCACCAGTTTTATGTGAGTTCTGCTAATGGATACTCTTTCTGTTTGTTTTTTCTTAGCTTGTGTGGAATTATTCCGGGACTTAGCAGTATCTTCCTTCCCCGAATGAATCCATTTGTTTTGATTGATCTTGCTGGAGCATTTGCTCTTTGTATTACATATATGCTCATTGAAATTAAGTGAGTATTTTTTATTGTTGTCAAGTATGTTTTGATTTCTGGGGACTTACTTTTAAGGGCATCAGCAGGATGGATAGTGGTCAAGCTTCTAGCAGTTTCGCTTATGTCCTGTGTAACTTAGATCACATCTTTTCCTTAGGTGTCTTCATCTGAAAAATTAAGGGGATTGGGTTCAATAAGTATTTCTTACCACAATGTATAATGCAGACTGGAAAACAATTTAAATTCCCTACTGCTGACCTGATGAGTGAAACAGAAAAGAGAACAGTAAGAAAGAGATCTGAGCCACCACTGCTATTGCCGAGAGAGGGAGGAGAAGAGGACGTAGGCGTGAAACAATTTTTTAAAAATAAAGCCTTTTAGGAAATAGGCTTTACAGCTGCTTTAAGCTTAACATGTTATGGCATATGATTCTTTGGCTACCCACCTTTTAAATATTAGTCTTTACTAGAATTTGTCCTTATTGTTCTTGCTGTTTTATGTATTTTCCTTAAAAATCACATGCAAGTATTTGTTTTTGTTTGCTACTTCTGTGGGATTCCTAGATTTTTATTTCTAGCCCACATCTCTATTGAATTCCAAAAGGCGTATCTTCCTGACTTCTATAGGTGTCTACTTTAACTGAACCTATTTTCCCTTAACTCTGAAACTGTTTTTTCTTCTATCTCCCATCTCAGTGAATGGGAGATACAAGAAAAATACTGTCATTTATGCCAATGCATTCTTATTTTAAATTGCATTAAAATATACATAATATAGAGTTGGCTTTTTTCTGAGATGGAGTTTCGCTCTTGGTGCCCAGGCTGGAGTGCAATGGCATGATCTCAGCTCACTGCAACCTCCACCTCCCGAGTTCAAGCAATTCTCCTGCCTCAGCCTCCTGAGTAGCTGGGATTAGAGGCACCTGCCACCACACCTGGCTAATTTTTGTATTTTTAATAGAGATGAGGTTTTGCCATGTTGGCCAGGCTGGTCTTGAACTCCTGACCTTAGGTGATCCACCTGCCTCGGTGGCTCATGACTGTAATCCCAACATAGAGTTTTTTATTTACATTGAGTGTACAATTTGGTGACATTGCATGCAGCCATTACCACCATCCATCTCCAGAACCTTTTTCCTCCTGCCTTCCTTAAATTCCATGCTCATTAAGCAGCTTTCCTTTTCCTCCTCCTCACAGCCCCTGGAAACCACCATTCTAGTTTCTGTCTCTAGGAATTTGACTTCTCTAAGTACTTCACAGAAATGAAATCATATAATATTTGTTCTTTTGTGTCTGCTTATTTCACTTAGCATAATGTCCTCAAGGTTCATCTATGTTGTAACATGTCAGAATTTCCTTCCTTTTTAATTGGAATGCTGAATCACATTTTCCAATGCATAATGGGTAAACAATGCATTTTGTTTACCCATTTATCCATCAGTGGATATTTGAATTGGTTGCATTTCTTTGACTATTGTGAATAATACCACTGTGAACACGAGTGTACAAATATCTGAGTCCTTCCTTTCAGTTCGTGTGGGTATATACCCAGAAGTGAAATTACTGGGTCATGTGATATGATAATTCTGTATTTATCTAATTTATTTAATTTTTTATTTTTGTAGGCACATAGTAGGTATATATATTTATGGGGTACATGAGATATTTTGATACAGGCATACAGTGCATAATAATCACATCAGGGTAAATGGGGTATCCATCACCTCAAGGATGTATTTTTTCTTTGTGTTCTAATTATGCTCTTGTTTATTTTAAAATGTACAATAAATTATTGTTGACTGTAGTAACCCTGTTTTGCTATCAAATAGTAGATTTTATTTATTCTAACTATATTTTTATATCCATTAACCATCCCCCACATCCCCCCAATATTTTAGTTTTTTGAGGAACTCCAGTGCATCATTAATACCCACTTTTCCTCCCTCCTCCTCTCTCACCACTCCCCAAGCCATTTCTAATTCGTCTCCAAGCCTTGTGTAATTGTTTATTAATATTTATTTATTTGGCTGGGTGCGGTGGCTTACACCTGTAGTCCCAGCACTTTGGGAAGCCGAGGCGGCTGGGTCGCCTGAGGTCAGGAGTTCAAGACCAGCCTGGCCAACATGGCAAAACCCCGTCTCTGCTAAAAATACAAAAATTAGCTGGGCGTGGTGATGCACACCTGTAATCCCAACCACCTGGGAGGCTGAAGCAGGAGAATCGCTTGAACCCAGGAAGTGGAGGAGGTTATATATATATGAGACATATATACACACACACACACACACAAATATAAAATATGTGTTGATATATATATATAAACATATATATATGTTTATTTGTCCCCTCTTTCCCATTCTCATTGCTGCTGTCCCTATTAAGACCTTTATCATCATTTCTTTGGCCTAATTAGAATAGCCTCTGGTCTTCTAGTTTTCATTCTTATCCATTGCTAGTTACCTTTTATTTTGTCACTAATGTGATCATTCAAAATTGCTAGTTTGGAGATAATATATTCCTGTTTCAAAACCCTCCCCTTGAGGTGTACCCAACAGCTCATTGAGAACGGGCCACGATGACAATGGCGGTTTTGTGGAATAGAAAAGGGGGAAAGGTGGGGAAAAGATTGAGAAATCGGATGGTTGCTGTGTCTGTGTAGAAAGAAGTAGACATGGGAGACTTTTCATTTTGTTCTGTACTAAGAAAAATTCTTCTGCCTTGGGATCCTGTTGATCTATGACCTTACCCCCAACCCTGTGCTCTCTGAAACATGTGCTGTGTCCACTCAGGGTTAAATGGATTAAGGGCGGTGCAAGATGTGCTTTGTTAAACAGATGCTTGAAGGCAGCATGCTCGTTAAGAGTCATCACCACTCCCTAATCTCAAGTACCCAGGGACACAAACACTCTGCCTAGGAAAACCAGAGACCTTTGTTCACTTGTTTGTCTGTTGACCTTCCCTCCACTGTTGTCCTGTGACCCTGCCAAGTCCCCCTCTGCGAGAAACACCCAAGAATGATCAATAAAGAAAAAAATAATAATAATAATAATAAAACCCTCCCCTTTGCATAGTTGCAAAAATTGAAGTTGTCAGCACAGAGTCCTGAGTAATCAGGCCCCTACCAACCTTACTAACCATCCATCTATCTATTCCTGACCATTTGTGGTTTTATTGCTGGGTCAGGGTTTTCATGCCCCTGCACATGCTGCTTTCACTTGCCTATCTTTGAAGTCTCTGCCCAAATGTCACCTTCTGGATTATCTCCACCCCAGGAGCCTTGTCACTCAATCTTTTGTGCGGCCATGGTACTCTGTAGACATTTCTGCCTTAGTGCCCAAAGTGCTTCATTATGTTTTTCACATGTGTATCTCCTGTTATTTCTAGGGCAAGGATTGTGTCTCATTCACATTTCTATTTCTAGCATGTGGGGAAAAGTAGAAAAGAGTGCACAATCAGCTTGTAATTATTGGCATTTTGGTCTGTATTGTTGGTAGAACTTCAGCCAGTTTGAATTGTTGATGTTGACTACAGTGTTACCATAAAAAATTCCTGGAGAATCTTACCTGGTGAAATTCCTGGGGAATTTGAAGTCTTATTAGAAATAATTATCGCTCACTGGAAACTTGATATAATTACTGATAGATTCCATTAGTCTTTCTGTATCAAAAATTACTAGTTGAATGACACACAGCCACGGCTGAGTGGCTGCCCTGCCCCTGTTTCCTTTCACGTTTTTGCTGCATGTAGGTGGTTGTGGCCACTGTGCCCGGAGGGAGGCAGCAGTGGCCAGTAATGCCTGGGAAACTCCTCTGGGGGTACATTATGGAACTGGAAGCACCCTTGGAGGAGTCCGAGAGCCAGAAGAAGGAGAGGCAGAAGAGCTTTATGGATATCACAGTTTCGGCTAATGGATTATGGACCTGTACTTCCCTTATATGGTTTTTATGAAGATTTAAACAAGATAAGCTGAAAATACATTACACAGTGCTGGAGTGACAGAAGGAAGTCAAGCCACCATTATGACTCAGATGAGAAATCAGAAACAAGAGAAAATGGTGTTACAGATTACCTGGATGCTCCCAAGACCAAAAAAATTAAAATGAAAGAGAAGCTAAATGGAGACACTGAAGAAGGATTTAATAGACTTTCAGATGAATTCTCTAAATCTCATAAGTCAAGAAGAAAAGATCTACTGAATGAGATATTGATGAATATGAAAAAAAAAAAGCAAGTATCATCCTTAGATAGTTCTACTCATGAATCAAGTGATAAGAAGCTAGAGGAGACCTTAACACATGAACAGAAAGAAGGAACCTTCTCCAATCTTCCTATTTCTGAAGAGACTATAAAGCTTCTGAAAGGTTGAGGGGTAACATCTCTCTTTCCTGTTCAAGTTAAGACCTTTGGTCCTGTATATGAAGGAAAAGATTTAATAGCTCAAGCACAGACGGGAACAGGAAAGAAAGACATTCTATTTTGCGATCCCTTTGATTGAAAGACTCCAAAGAGATCAAGAAACAGTTTTTTGTTTGTTTGTTTGTTTGTTTGTTTTTTGAGACAGAATCTCGCTCTGTCGCCCAGGCTGGATCTCGGCTCACTGCAAGCTCCGCCGCCCGGGTTCACACCATTTTCCTGCCTCAGCCTCCCAAGTAGCTGGGACTACAGGCACCCGCCACCACCCCCGACTATTTTTTTTTGTATTTTTAGTAGAGACGGGATTTCACCGTGTTAGCCAGGATGGTCTCAATCTCCTGACCTTGTGATCTGCCCATCTCGGCCTCCCAAAGTGCTGGGATTGCAGGCGTGAACCACTGTGCCCAGCTCTGATTGGATCTTTCTAAACTGTGCCATGTTGTGCTTGATGAAGTGGATCAAATGTTAGAGTTAGGTTTTGCTGAACAAGTTGAAGATATTATTCATGAATTCTACAAAACTGATTCTGAAGACAGTCCTCAGACTTTACTTTTTTCTGCAGCTCGCCCACAGTGGGTATGCAAAGTTGCAAAAAAATGAGTGAAATCCAGATACGAACAGATTGATGTTTTTGGAAAAATGACTCAAAAGGCTGCAGCTTCTGTGGAACATTTGGCCATCCGGTGTCATTGGTCTCAGAGGCCAGCAGTTACTGGAGATGTCCTTCAAGTCTACAGTGGGTCTGAAGGGACGGCTATTATTTTCTGTGAGACCCAGAGGAGTGTAACTGAAATAGCCATGAATCCACACATAAAACAGAATGCCCAGTGTTTACATGGGGACATTGCACAGTCACAAAGAGAATTTACACTAAAAGACTTCAGAGAAGGTAGTTTTAAAGTTTTGGTGGCAACCAACGTGGCTGCCTGTGGTTTGGACATTCCTGAAGTTGACCTGGTGATTCATGGTTCTCCTCCTCAGGATGTTGAGTCTATATCCATCGTTCTGGACGCACAGGTAGAGCTGGACAGACAGGGATTTGTATATGTTTTTATCAACCAAGAGAAAGAGGTCAACTAAGATATGTGGAACAAAAAGTAGGAATTACTTTTAAATGTGTAGGTATTCCTTCTACAATGGATTTAGTTAAATCTAAAAGCACGGATGCCATAAGGTCTCTGGCTTCTGTTTCTTATGCTGCTGTTGATTTTTTCCAACCATCAGCTCAGATACTGACAGAAGAGAAAGGGGCAGTGGATGCATTGGCTGCAGCTTTAGCCCACATTTCTGGTGCATCAGGCTTTGAACCACGATCTTTGATCACCTCTGATAGGGATTTGTGACCATGACTCTGGAAAGCCTAGAGGAAATACAGGATGTCAGCTGTGCTTGGAAAGAACTTAACAGAAAGCTGAGTAGTAATGCAGTGTCTCAGATTACCAGAATGTGCCTCCTGAAAGGAAATGTGCGTGTTTGCTTTGATGTTCCTACAACTAAGTCAGAAAGGTTACAGGCAGAGTGGCATGATTCCGACTGGATATTCTCAGTGCCAGCCAAATTACCTGAAATTGAAGAATATTATGATAGAAACACATCTTCTAATTCCAGACAGAGGAGTGGTTGGTCAAGTGGCCAGTCGGGCCGATCAGGTGGTCGATCTGGCAGCCGGTCAGTTAGACAGAGTCCACAAGGGAGTCGCTCAGGAAGTTGACAAGATGGTAGAAGATGAAGAGGGAATAGAAATCGATCAAGAAGTGGGAGCCACAAACGGAGTTTTGACTATTTGATAGTTAATCTACCAGTATGAGGTTGCCTATTTCTGCCTAATCATGTATATTATGCACCAAAAATTAGGTCATCATAGTTGAGGTATGTGTCTGCTATTTGCAAATAAATTGGTCATATTTTTTTAAAAAGTATTTCACAAGAATGATTGTAAACAGATCTACTTACCAGTTATACCTTTGAATTAAAAAACCTCTTTTTATTGTCTCTTTTTAAAAAAAAATTACTAGTTGAAGTTTTTTGTCTGTCTCAAGCAAATAAACATATTTCAGCTCTTTCTAGTTGACAGATAGTTTGACAAAAAAATGCCTGACGGGGAAATGTCCACATTTTTTTTCATCATACCTCTTCCTACTAATTAACATAATTATTAGTTATTTTTCCACTAAACTTTGAAAGGAAAGAATTCTAAAAACTGGAGTATTTTTCTTTGAAATGTTTCTTTGCAAGTAGTGGCCAATTGTGATAAAATTGTGTCCTGTTGCTCAGTCCTGTTGCTTTAGATAATTAATGTTCAGGAGATTTAATTGTAATATGCCCAGTGAGATATAAATTTAAAATTTAGAATTGTTTTTTCCTTTTAGTAATTATTTTGCCGTAGACACTGCCTCTGCTATAGCTATTGCCTTGATGACATTTGGCACTATGTATCCCATGAGTGTGTACAGTGGGAAAGTCTTACTCCAGGTAAGGTGCTTCTTCCAATGCACGTGCTTAATATTAGCCATGTTCTTCTACCAGATTAAAAAGTTGTATGTGTTGTTCTACAAGATTGTGAAATTTTTATTTTTATTTTTTAATTTTAATTTTTTTTTTTTTTTTTTTAGAGACAGGTCCTTGCTCTGTCACCTAGACTGGAGTACAGTGGTGGGATCTCGGCTCACTGCCGCCTTGACCTCCCAGGCTCAAAGGACCCTCCCACCTCAGTCTCCTGAGTAACAAACTACAGGCACACACCACCACACCCAGCTAATTTTTAAAAATATTTGTAGAGATGGGCTCTCACTATGTTGCCCAGGCTGATCTCAAACTCCTGGGCTCAAATGATCCTCTTGCTGCGGCCTCCCAAAGTGTTGGGACTATACGCGAGAGCCATCGTGCCCAGTCATAATTTTTAATTACAAAAGTTTTTTGGCCAGGAGAGGTGGCTCACGCTTGTAATCCCAGCACTTTGGGAGGCCAAGGCGGGCAGATCACAATGTCAGTAGTTCGAGACCAGCCTGGCCAACATGGTGAAACCCTGTCTCTACTAAAAAAATACAAAAATTAGCTGGGCGTGGTGGCGTGCACCTGTAATCCCAGCTACTCGGGAGACTGAGGCAGGAGAATTGCCTGAACCCGGGAGGCGGAGGTTGCAGTGAGCTGACATTGTACCACTGCATCCAGCCTGGGTGACAGAGCAAGACTCCATCTCAAAAAAACAAAACAACATTTTTTTTAATGCCCTCCCTTTAACAGTACAGATTGTGAAATTTTTAGTTACTGGAAGCCCCTGCTAGAAATGAAGTCAAACAATAATCTCTGACATTCATATAGTCAGAACCTGATGAAAGTCCATTAGCAAGTAAAATAGTCACAAATCTTCCTATATTTATATTGTGACAAAATCACAAATTTAAAGCTATTATTATTTTTCAAGTGAAAAGAATGTTACTTCTTTTTTTTTTTTTTTTTTTTTTGAGACAGAGTCTCTCTCTCTTGACCAGGCTGGAGTGCAGTGGCGCTACACTCAGGTCACTGCAACCTTTGCTTCCTGGGTTCAAGCGATTCTCCTACCTCAGCATCCCGAGTAGCTGGGACTACAGCCATGTGCCACCACGCCTGGCTAATTTTTGTATTTTTAGTAGAGCTGGGGTTTCACTACATTGACCAGGATGGTCTCAAATTCCTGACCTCAGGTGAGCCACCCGCCTTGAACCTCCTAAAGTGCTGGGATTACAGGCGTGAGCCACTGCACCCGGCCTGAAATTTTTTTTAGATATTTATTTTCCCTCAGTAAATGTGCTTTGGCTTTTGTGTAATCTGCTTATGACTATTTTATTATTTCCTGCCACTGAATCAGTGAGACTTTAAAATTTCAAACTTAAAATCTTAAATGACACATTGCTACTTACTGAAATGATAGGAACACCCTGAATATGAATAGAAAGGCAGTTTCCGGCCGGGCGCGGTGGCTCATGCCTGTAATCCCAGCACTTTGGGAGGCCGAGGTGGTTAGATGACGAGGTCAGGAGATCAAGACCATCCTGGCTAACACGGTGAAACCCCATCTCTACTAAAAATGCAAAAAATTAGCCGGGCATGGTGGCGAGTGCCTGTAGTCCCAGCTACTCAGGAGGCTGAGGCAGGGGAGTGGCTTGAACCCGGGAGGCGGAGCTTGCAGTGAGCCAAGATTGCGCCACTGCATTCCAGCCTGGGCGACAGAGCGAGATTCCAAAAAAAAAAAAGGCAGTTTCCCAGGGCCGGATGTGCGTGTAAGCACTGTGGTTCCTTCTGTCTTACCCTATGCCTTTTCCAAGACTTAGGGCAGTAGTTCCATCTCCAGAAAAAATAAAAATAAGATAATAGTTGCATAGTGCTATGCCCTATACAAAATACGACCTTTGTAACCATTTCCCAAAGATTTTTTGTTGGTTGGTTGGTTGTTTAAGTGTTATTTATCTTTTTATCTTATCTTCAAGATAAAAAAACAGGTGTGGGCCAGTTGATGATGTTGTTCCACTAGTGGGGCCAGTTGAAACCTCTCTTCTCTAAATCATGATAGGACAGCTGTCAAAGCAAAGGCTGGCTTAAAATCCTTTTGGGGAGGGGGTTCAGGACCATTGTTGGCAAACTTTTTTCCTTCCCCCATTATTCATATTTTATTGTATTTTTCCCCAGACAACACCACCCCATGTTATTGGTCAGTTGGACAAACTCATCAGAGAGGTAAGATGGAATAGTAAATAAAATCATTTTATTTTATATCAGGGAATTGAAAAGGTGGATACTTTTAATACTTTATTCAACTCTACCTAGAATTTTATTTGAGGGAAGTTCATGTTCTTCACAATAACATACTAGGAGCCATAATATAGTGGCAAACGTGGAAAAATATGAGGAATTGTTCAATTTGGAAATCAAATTCACTTGAAGTGAATGTGGAAGGTAATGGCCTAATGACCACCCTATTATAAATGCTATGATTTTTATTTATTTTATTTAGTTATTTAGTTATTTTTTTTTTGAGACAGTCTTGCTCTGTTGCCAGGCTGTAGTGCAGTGGCGCAATCTCAGCTCACTGCAACCTCCACCTCCCAGGCTCAAGCAATTCTCCTTCCTCGGCCTCCTGAGTAGGTGAGACTACAGGCGCGTGCCACCATGCCCAGCTAACTTTTTCTTTTTTTTTTGAGACAGAGTCTTGCTCTGTCGCCCAGGCTGGAGTGCAATGGTGCCGTCTTGGCTCACTGCAACCTCCGTCTCCCAGGTTCAAGTGATTCTCCTGCCTCAGCCTCCTGAGTAGCCGGGACTACAGATGCAAGCCACCATACCCAGCTAATTTTTGTATTTTTAGTGGAGACAGGGTTTCGCTGTGTTGGCCAGGCTGGTCTTGAACTCCTGACCTTGTGATCCACCCGCCTCGGCCTCCCAAAGTGCTGGGATTACAGGCATGTCCACAGCGCCTGGCCCGCCCAACTAACTTCTGTATTTTTTTTTTTTTTTTTTTTTTTTCTGAGATGGAGTCTCGCTCTGTCGCCCAGGCTGGAGTGCAGTGGCACAATCTCGGCTCACTGCAACCTCCGCCTCCTGAGTTCAAGTGATTCTTCTGCCTCAGCCTCCCAAGCAGCTGGGATTATAGGCGCCCACCACATGCCTGGCTAATTTTTGTATTTTTAGTAGAGACAGGGTTTCACCATCTCGACCAGGCTGGTCTTGAACTCCTGACCTCGTGATCCACCCACCTCGACCTCCCAAAGTGCTGGGGTTACAGGCATGAGCCACCAGGCCCGGCCTAACTTTTGTATTTTTAGTAGAGACGGGGTTTCACCATGTTGGCCAAGATGGTCTCAATCTCTTGACCTCGTGATCCACCCGCCTCGGCCTCCCAAAGTGCTGGGATTATAGGTGTGAGCCACCGTGCCCAGCCTGTTTTTTGTTTTTTTTGAGACTGAGTCTTGCTCTATCACCCAGGCTGGGGTGCAGTGGCATGATCTTGGTTCACTGCAACCTCCGCCTCCTGAGTTCAAGCGATTCTCCTGCTTCAACCTCCTGAGTAGCTGGGATTACAGGCTCCCACCACCATGCCTGGCTAATTTTTGTATTTTTAGTAGAGACGAGGTTTCACCATGTTGGCCAGGCTGGTCTCGAACTCCTGACCTCAAATGATCCGCCCCTTGTGACCTCCCAAAATGCTGGGATTACAGGCATGAGCCACTGTGCCCAGCCTTTTGTTGTTTTTTTAAAATATATATATAAAAAGAGATGGGGTCTTGCTATGTTGACCAGGCTGGTCTTGAACTCCTGCTCTCAAGCCATCCTCCCATCTTGGCCTTCCAAAGTGCTGGGATTACAGGCATGAGCCACTGTGCCCGGTCAAATGCTGTGATTTTTTTTTTTTTTCCAGGGGGTACAGGGTCTTACTCTGCCACCCAGTCTGGAGTGCAGTGCCGTGTTCTCTGCTTCCCACCGGCTAATTGTTGTACTTTTTTAGTAGAGACAGGGTTTCGCCATGTTGGCCTGGCTGGACTCGAACTCCTGGCCTCAAGTGATCTGCCTACCTCAGCCTCCCAAAGTACTGGAATTGCAGACATGAGCCACCATGCCCAGCCTAGACTTTCTTTTAAGTTGTTACAAATTTCCACCTACTAACTAATGAAGAAATAAAATAATGAACTATTTTGATGTTGAAACTATTTTAAACCTTTGATTGTCAGTGTGACAGAGGCCACTTTTACCAGTATAACTGGCTACTACTCTCAACTAGTGAAGCCTGGCCTTGAGTATGTGTCCTGTGCAACTGTACCAGTGGGCTACACACTATATATCTGGCCTTGGAATTTCTTCTAGACTCACATCCAAACAACATCCTGTGTTGTGCAGAGATTTGTTATAAGGGATTTCAGAGAAAGAAGTGATTGAGAAAACAAAAAAATTAAGTAAAAAATCTGATACCACAAAGTGCTAGATATAAATATATTCCATATTGATATGAAAAGAACCATACACTGTTGAAGAAATTGGTTGGGGTAGGGGTTTAAAACTGAGCAGTGGGGACCTGATTCTAAAAGAATTGGGGCAAGCAAGAAACGAGGAAAGCAAGGTCTTGGGTCAGTATGGAACAAACAGGAATGGTATCTTGAGTGGTCTGAGACTTCTCTTAGCTAATGAGTGTCCTTGTGCAGGATTTGGCTGTCATTCTTAAGTTTAAACTAAGTCCATAATGTGACTAAACTGCATTGGATATGTTAAGTACAGACAACTCTGATCACCTCTTTCTGTTTTTGGTAGGTATCTACCTTAGATGGAGTTTTAGAAGTCCGAAATGAACATTTTTGGACCCTAGGTTTTGGCTCATTGGTATGTTCTTTTACATATGACTTTAGTTATAATTTAAAATATAGTCTTCCATTTTTAAAACTGAAAAAAAATATTTCCTTAAAATTTTTATAGAGCCTTTGATTCCTAGTTATGTTAAGCAGAGTCTAAAATGTACATGAATTCAATTACCTAATTGAGGGATTTTTTGGTGTTTAGAGACAGGGTCTCACTCTGTTGCCCAGGCTGGTGTTGAACTCCTGGCCTCAAGCAGTCCTCCCGCCTTAATCTCCCAAACAATAGAGGAATGTTTTTATTTTTTTTCCATCAAACATGTTAATGATAATAATACAGGAGTGTCCAGATAAGACAAATTTGTAGTCAGTGTAATTTCCAAATAAGAAAATGTTAAAAAAAATTAAAAGTGCAATTGCTTTCTTTTTTAACTGTAGTTCTCATTTTGGAGAGTTTGCTGAATATTTTGAAGAACTACAGTAACACAACTTGCTTCAGCATAAAATTTCGTATTTTCTAATTCAGTTTGAACCTCAATACCAGAGAGACTTTATTATGACACGGTTTTACTCGTACGTTAGGAATGATGAGGAAAATACAGAAAATGTAAAGCACTATAATCTTATCATCTAAAGAAAACTGCTGTTGATATTTTGGTGTTTATACATTTATTTTCCTTAGAAAATGAGATCACGGGCTGGGCGTGGTAGCTCACGCCTGTAATACCAGCACTTTGGGAAGCCGAGGCGGGCAGATCACCTGAGGTTGAGAGTTTGAGACCAACTTGGCTAACATGGTGAAACCCCATCTCTGCTAAAAATACAAAATTAGCTGGGCGTGGGGTGTGGCACACGCCTGTAATTCCAGTTACTCGGGAGGCTGAGGCAGGAGAATCTCTTGAACCCGGGAGGCAGAGGTTGCAGTGAGCCGAGATCACGCCATTGCACTCTAGCCTGGGTGACAGAGTGAGACTCTGTCTCCAAAAAAAAAAAAAAAAAAAAAAACAACAGAAAATGAGATCATGCTGTTTTATAATTAGCTCTTTTTGTTTAATTAATTTATCATGAACAGTTTTCTATGTCATTAAATACTCTTCTACAGTATCATTAAAAAAAACAGATAGGGTTTGATTTTTCTAATATAACACAAATTTTATAGATAAACAGATCAAAGCTGGTCTAGCAGTTCAATGATATTACCCACTTTGCAGTCTTTAGTTTCAGGCTATGCTTTTGTAGTGGGAAAATGGTTGCTTCACCTCCACCTTCCCCAACTCTTTCCCTCTCTCATTATTTTGGATGTCTAAAACTTATTACAAGAAAAACTTGAGACTGTAACATCCCCTCCCTCCTTACTGGGAAGGTGCCAAATGACCAGAGTGTCAAGAGACCAAAGAATGACTTGGACAGGTCCAGCATGGCCAGTAGGTGAGTTTGTTAGGAGTTACCTATGGGGCACTCCTGGGAAGCAGGACAGCTTTAGAGATCTACCCACCTCCCATTTCTAAGCTGCTTTTAAGCTAATTTTCTCGCTCTTTGCCTGCTGTATGTGTGTAATGAGACTGTTTTCCTTGGTAGGGTCTCAGATGCTCTCTAAAATCTTTGGTTCTCAGGGTCGCTTGCTCCTCGACTGTACACCATGGCTTTGGCTCATTGCCTGGCCTTCAGAGTTCGGGCAGCGGACATACATCATCGAATAACCTAGTGGGGGACCCACCACACTACACTTCTTTAAATTCTTTAGAAGGGGCCGTTGGGAACAATATTCTCTAAATTCTTGAATGTTGAAAGCAGCTTGTGGACATTATAATTAAAAATTAGTTTGATTGGATATAAACTCTTCAGTACACATTTGTTTCAAGTTTCTTAAAAACACATTATCCCTTTTATTTCTGGCATGAAGCATTTCTGAGACAATGCCTAATGATAGTCTTAATTTTTTTCCTTTTATATGTCACTTGGTCTTTTTGCCTGGATGCCCAAAAGATTTTTTTTTAAGTTCAGTACCTTTACTAGAATATGTCTTGGCATTGGTCATTCTGCATGAGTTATTTCAGGTATGCAGTGCACCCTTTCTTCTTTTTTTTTTTATTTTTATTTTTGAGACGGAGTCTTGCTCTGTCGCCCAGGTGGGCGTGCAGTAGTGCAATCTCGGCTCACTGCAGCCTCTGCCTCCAGGGTTCAAGCGATTCTCCTGCCTCAGCCTCCCGAGTAGCTGGGATTACAGGCACGCACCACCACGCCCAGCTAATTTTTGTTTTTTTTTAGTAGAGATGGGGTTTTACCATGTTGACCAAGCTAGTCTCAGACTCCTGACCTCAAGTGATCCTCCCTCCTTGGCCTCCCAAAGTGTTGGGATTACAGGCATGAGCTACTGCGCTCGGCCCACAGTGCACGCTTTTGATAATGCTGTTTCAAAAATAATTTTTTAAAACATCTAATTGTATTTTGTAATATTTGTTCTATTCTCTTTCTTTGGTTTTCTTTTGTGGAAACTTCTGTTATGTGCATGTTAAATATGTTGGATCTTTGCCTTTCTTACTGTTATTTTCTTTCAAATTCTTATCTTTTAATTTCCTTTTGATTTTTTTTAACCTTTTGTGTCTCTTAAAGTATACCTGTATGTTTCCTTATGTTTGTGTTTGTTCTGAGTAAGTCTTCATTTCTAAAGTGATCTTTTTTTCTTGTATTACAATTGTCATCTCATTTCTAAGGTTTTCTAATTCTGATTTATGGTCTTGTTTTATATCTTTTGATTGGTTTTTAAAAAGTAGGTTATAGTTTTTATCTGACATGTAGTTTTATCTGTCTGGTGATCTTTTATAATCTGTTTTATAGTCTCTTTTTCTTACATAACTTTGTGTGGGATTTGACCCTCTCTTCTTTTCTGTTGCTCATTTTTATGTGAAATTAGTTTTCCTGAACATTAAAATTAGGAGTGGTTTAGGGTAGTGTGTACAAATTCATGGGTCTAGAGCTCCATCTTCTGATGATTTTGTGAACGAAGAAAGATTTTTGTTCTGGCTTTCTTCCTCTCTGCCATTTTTACCTTTTTTTTTTTTTTTTTTTTTTTTTTTTGAGACAGGGTCTCACTCTGTCGCCAGGCTAGACTGAGTGCAATGGCTTGATCTCGGCTCACTGCAACCTCCGCCTCCCAGGTTCAAGCGATCCTTTCACCTCAGCCTCCCCAGTAGCTGGGACTACAGGTGCATGCCACCATGCCTAGCTAATTTTTGAATTTTTTGGTAGAAACAGGGTTTCACCATGTTGGCCAGGCTGGTCTCAAACTTCTGACCTCAGGTGATCTGCTCTTGGCCTCCCAAAGTGCTAAGATTACAGGAGTGAGCCACTGTGTCCAGCATTTTTTTTTTTTTTTTTTTTTTTTTTTAAGGAGACAGCGTCCTGCCCTGTCACCTAGGCTGGAGTGAGTGGTACAGATATAGCTCACTGCAGTCTCAAATGTCTGGGCTCAGATGATCCTCCTACCTCAGCCTTCCCAGTAGCTGGGATTACAGGTACACGCCACCATGCCCAGCTGATCTTTTTAATTTTTTTTGTAGAGACAGTCTTGCTGTGTTGCCTAGGCTGGTCTTGAACTCTTGGCCTTAAGCACTCCTACTGCCTTGGCCTCCCAAAGTGTTGGGATTACAGGCACGAGCCACTGTGCCTGGCCCTGCCTTACATTTTTATCTGAACTTCTTCTGTCCTTTGTCTCAACTGTACTACTCAGTTTGGATTCTCTTGCCAATGTTTCTTTTTGATATGGAGCTTTTTTTTTTTTTTTTTGGAGGGGAGCTTTGCCTGGTTACTTTCGAGACTCATAGGGCTCAGACTATTCCAGCCCTTATTGCAGACCCAGTGTATTTGCCCACTGTTGTAATGTGCAAAACTCCTCCCAGTTGCAGCTGCTTTTCTCATATTGGCTGTCCTAGATT
Organism: Homo sapiens; assembly: GCF_000001405.40. Lineage (NCBI taxonomy): Eukaryota > Metazoa > Chordata > Mammalia > Primates > Hominidae > Homo > Homo sapiens. The sequence goes on from NC_000002.12 coordinate 32,213,469, forward strand.
TCCATTAAGTCTTGTTAGCCGCTTTGGGGTTTTTAGGTCAGTCAGATGTGCTGTTGCTTCCTGCTGCACAGATTGTGTTACCTTGAAGGTCTTACACCTTTTATTTGGGTTTTCATAAGGGTACTAGGTTACTTTCTTTGTTTTAATGGAAATATTTGAGGCATTTCAAACACTGCCACCACTGCTGCCATCTTGCAAGAATCCCAACATAATTTTTAGTTTTCTTAGTTTTACATTATCTAAATATGCCATAATTTATTTCATAAGTCCCTTAGTGAATATTTAGATTCTCTTCTATTTTTCCTATATTAACAGGTCTAGGATAAACTTTTTTTTTTTTTTGTTTTTGTTTTGAGACGGAGTCTCACACTGTCACCTGGGCTGGAGTGCAATGGCATGATCTTGGCTCACTGCAACCTCCGCCTCCTGAGTTCAAGCAACTCTCCTGCCTCAGCCTCCCAAGTAGATAAAAACTAGAAAGAAGCTATCTGTGAAACTGCTTTGTGATGTGTAGATTCATCTCACAGAGTTAAACCTTTTTATTGATTCAGGAGGTTGGAATCTCTCTTTTTGTAGAATCTGCGAAGAGACAGCCGGGATTACAGATGCCCCACCATGCCCCACGTCTGGCTAATTTTTTGTATTTTTAGTAGAGATAGGGTTTCACTGTGTTGGCCAGGCTGGTCTCGAACTCCTGATCTTGTGATCTGCCCGCCTCGGCCTCCCAAAGTGCTGGGATTATAGGAATGAGGCACCATGCCCAGCCTGGGATAAACATTTTTATGGGATAATCTTTGTAAATATCCATGATTATTTCTTAAGATTAATTTTTAGAAGTTTTTGTAAATCTGAAAATATTCACATTTTTATGGCTTTTGATGCAAATTCCCAAATTGCCTTCTAGAATGCCTTTTAGAACTACACACCTTGAGTCTTATGTTCATTTTTAACCATTCTTTCCTTTATTTTTTTAATTAATTAATTTTTTAAAATATGGAACGCTTCATGAATTTGCATGTCATCTTTGCACAGAGGCCATACTAATCTTCTCTGTATCGTTCCAATTTGAGTATATGTGCTGCCGAAGTGACCACTTAACCATTCTTTTAATTGCGTTAATGACATTGGATGGCTTATAAACACAAAGAATATAGTCATCAACTCAGAACTTGGCATCTAGAAACCACACCTATGAAGTCCCTGGTTAAGACCCAGGAATTTAATAAAACAAGCTTTTGAGCTGCTAAAAGTTAATATCACAAAAGCCATAGATTAACGCATGCACTGTAATTATAGGAGACTTTTCAAGTTCATACTCTGAAAACAGAGTTTCCTTATTTTAATTACTTTGATTTCCATATCAGACTGAAAGAGGATATGGCATCTTTAATACTTAGGTAGTGACAACTGTGAATGGTAGTGGCAAAAGAAAAGGGAAAAATCAAAGATGACTTGATTTCAAGACGTGGCTTGTCTTAGCTAAAAGTAATAAACTGGAAGTCAAATTCAAGGAATATAGATATTTTCTCTGTCTCATGATTGACAGTAGCTCTCTTACTATTTTTCTGTATTTTGTATTTCAAGTCATAGATTCAGATACAGTGTTACTAAACAATTTGGCTAATTTATGTGCAGTTTATGTTTTGTAAGAATTTTTTTCTTTTTTGAAAATCTGTGTTTATTTAGAGACCAACATGGAGTGTCTGCTGGACATTTTATTTAATTTTATTTACTCTCTTTTTTTGAGACTGGGTCTGGCTCTGTTGCCCAGCCTGGAGTGTAGCGACATGATCTTGGCTCACTGCAACATCTGCCTCATGGGCTCAAGCCATCCTCACACCTCAGCCTCCCAAGTAGCTGTGACTATAGGCGCGCACCACCACGCCTGGCTAATTTTTGTATTTTTTGTAGAGATGGGGTTTTGCCATGTTGTCCAGTCTGGTCTCAAACTCCTGAGCTCAAGTGATCCATCTACCTCAGCCTCCCAAAGTGCTGGGATTACAGGCATGAGCTACCATGCCTGGCCATCTATTATATATATATATATATTTTTTTTTTTTTTTTAAGTTCTTATTAGGCAAATAGTACCCAATTGTTAAGAAAATAAAAACTTGTAACTAAGTCATAAAAAAGAGAGTAAATATCCTTAATAATTCTGCCATCTAGAGATAAATATTGTCATCCTTGATACTTGTCTCTGTTCTTCTGTTTTTTATTTTTCTTTATTTATATCTTATTTTATTTTTTATTTATTGAGACAGGGTCTTGCTCTGTCACCCAGGCTAGAGTGCAGGGGTATAGTCATGGCTCACTGCAGCCTCAACCCTCTAGGCTCAAGCAGTCTTCCTGCCTCAGCCTTCCTCGTAGCTGGGACTGCATATGTGTGCCTGGCTAATTTATTTTTTATAACGATAGAGTCTTGCTATGTGGTCCAGGCTGGTCTCAAACTCTTCCTTAAGCAATCCAACCTAGGTGCCCATCAATCCTAGGTGTTATTGGGCACCTAGGTTGATGCCATGCCTTTGCTGTGTGAATAGTGCTGCAGTGAACATCCAAGTACATGTGTCTTTTTGGTAGAAAGATTATTTTCTTTTGGATATATACCCAGTTATGGGATTGCTGGGTCAAATGGTAGTTCTGTTTTAAGTTCTTTGAGAAATCTTCAAACTGCTTTTTAGAGTGGCTGAACTGATTTACATCCCCACCAACAGTGTATAAACACTCCCTTTTCTCTGCAGCCTCACCAGCATCTGTTGTTTTTTCACTTTTTAATAATAACCATTCTGGCTGGGCGCGGTGGCTCATGCCTGTAATCCCAGCACTTTGGGAGGCCGAGGCAGGCAGATCACCTGAGGTCAGGAGTTCAAGACCAGCCTGGCCAACATAGCGAAATCCTATCTCTACTAAAAATACTAAAATTAGCTGGGCATGGTGGCGTGGGCCTATAATCCCAGCTACTTGGGAGGCTGAGGCAGGAGAATTGTTTGAACCCAGGAGGTGGAGGTTGCTGTGAGCTGACATTGCGCCACTGCACTCCAGCCTGGGCAAGAGAGCAAGACTCTCTCAAAATAAATAAATAAATAAATAAATAAATAAATAAATAAATAAATAAATAATAATAATGATAGTAGCCATTCTGAGTAGTGTAGGATGGTATCTCATTGTGGTTTTGATTTGCATTTCTCTGCTGATTAGTGATGATGAGCATTTTTTTCATGCTTCTTGGCCACTTGTATGACTTCTTTTGAGATGTATCTTCATGTTTTTTTCCCATTTTTTAATGGGGTTGTTTTTTGCTTGTTCAGTTTTTAAGTTCTGTATAGATTCTGATATCAGATCTTTGTCTGATGCATAGTTTGCAAATATTTTCTCCCATTCTGTAGGTGTTTCTTGGTTGTCTCGCAAGATTCTTACAGTTTTGAGGTCTGTTTTTTTTTTTAGACGAAGTCTAGCTCTGTCACCCAGGCTGGAGTGCAGTGGCATGATCTCAGCTCACTGCAACCTCTGCCTCCTGGGTTCAAGTGATTTTTCCTTCTCAGCCTCCCAAGTAGCTGAAACTGCAGGCATTTGCCACCACGCCCGGCAAATTTTTTTTTTTTTTTCCATTTTTGTAGAAACAGGGTTTCACCATGTTGGTCAGGCTGGTCTTGAACTCCTGACCTCAGGTGATCTGCCTACCTCGGCCACCCAAAGTGCTGGGATTACAGGGCATGAGCCATAGCACCCTGCTGAGGTCTTAAATTTAAATCTTTAATCCATCTTGAGTTAATCTTTTTATATGGTGAAAGTGAAGGTCCAGCTTCATTCTTCTGCATATGGCTAGCTAGCTATCCTAGTACCATTTATTGAATAGGTAGTCCTTTCCCCACTGCCTATTTTTGTTGACTTTGTCAAAGATCAGATGGCTGTAGGTATGTGGCTTTATTTCTGGGTTCTTTATTCTGTTCCATTGGTCTATGTGTTTGTCTTTTTACCAGTACCATGCTGTTTTGGTTACTGTAGCCTTATAGTTTGAATTCAGGTAATGTGATGCTTCCAGCTTTGTTCTTTCTGCTTAGAATTTCTTTGGCTATTTGGGCTCTTTTTTGGTTCCATATGTATTTTAAAATATTTTTTTCTACTTCTATGAAAAATGACATTGGTAGTTTGATAGTAATAGCATGGAATCTATAGATTGCTTTGGACAATATGGCCATTTTAATGATACTGATCTTCCAATCCATGAGCGTGGAATGTTTTTCCATTTGTTTGTATCATCTGTGATTTCTTTGAGCAGTGTTTCATAGTTCTCCTTGTAGAGATCTTTCACCTCTTTGGTTAGATGTATTTCTAGGTATTTTATTTCTTTTGTGGATATTGTAAATGGGATTGAATTCTTTTTTTTTTTTTCTTGATACAAGGTCTCTCTTTGTCACCCAGGCTGGCGTGCAGTGGTGCAGCCACTGCAGCCTCGACCTCTAAGGTTCAATCAATTCTCCCACCTCAGCCTCCTGCGTAGCTGAGTAGCTGGCACTACAGATGTGTGCCACCACGCCCAGCTAATTTTTTTTATTTTTTGTAGAGATGGGGTTTCACCATGTTGCTCAGGCTGGGGGAGTCTGTGTGTGTGTGTTTGTGTTAACCAAAATAGGATCATTTGCTGATTATCTACTTTAAAAACATAATTTATGGACCGGGCATGGTGGCTCACGCCCGTAATCCCAGCACTTTGGGAGGCTGAGGCAGGAGGATCGCTTGAACCTAGGAGTTCGAGACCAGCTTGGGCAACACGGTGAGACCTCATCTCTACAAAGAAAACAAAAAAACAAAACCAAAAAAACCCATAATTTATGGTAAACACTTTTTCAAGTTAACAAATATACTTCTAACTCTCATTGTAATGCCTGGTGTTCTCTATCCCTTAGAAGCCTTGATATCATCTTTGATGAGTCAATCTTCCTCATCCTTTACTTCCAGCTGGGTATCAAGTCCTTCCATTACTACCTCTGGAATATGATATATCTGTCTGTCCCTCTCTGATCCCACTATTTTTGGCCTGGCTCAGCTCTCCTCTTTTGTTTTGTTTTGTTTTGTTTTGTTTTGTTTTGTTTTGTTTTGTTTTGTTTTGTGACAGAGTCTTGTTCTGTCTCCCAGGCTGGAGTGCAGTGGCATGATCTCTGCTCTCTGCAACGTCTGCCTCCTGGATTCAAGTGATTTTCCTGCCTCAGCCTCCTGAGTAGTTGGGATTACAGGTGCATGCCACCATGCCCAGCTAATTTTTGTATTTTTAGTAGAGACGTGATTTCGCCATGTTGGCCAGGCTGGTCTCAAACTCCTGACCTCAGGTGATCCACCTGCCTTGGCCTCCCAAAGTGCTGGGATTATAGGCATGAGCCACTGCACTTGGCAGCTCTCCTCATTTATAATCTAGATTGTTGAAGTTTTTTTCCTACCTGATTTCCAGTCATCTATACCTACAATTTTTCTGAACTCTGATTATTTATTTCTGTTAGGTTGCAGATGTTAAATTGAAATTCTTTATCATTTTAGAGTCCTCTGGTAGCCTCTTTTTAACCTTATTACCTACCTATCATTTTTCTTTCTTCCTTCTTCCCTTCTTCTCTTCCCATGCTGGGAGTGCGATGGCGTGATCTCGGCTCACTGCAACCTCCGCCTCCCAGGTTCAAGCAATTCTTCTGCCTCAGCCCCCTGAGTAGCTGGGATTATAGGCACATGTCACCACACCCGGCTAATTTTTGTATTTTTAGTGGAGGTGGGGTTTCACCATGTTGGTCAGGCTGGTCTCGAACTCCTGACGTCAGGGGTGATCCGCCCACCTCAGCCTCCCAAAGTGCTGGGATTACAGGCGTGAGTCACCACACCCAGCCCTTTCCTCTGTTTCTCCTTCTCTTCTTTCCTTCCTCTCTTCCTTCTCTCCCTCTCTTCTCTCTCCCTCCTCCTTCTTCTGCCCCCTGAAATACTTGGACTTCTTTTTTTTCTTTTTCAAGATAGGATATCACTCTGTCACTCAGGCTGGAGTGCAGTGGTGCGATCTTGGCTCACTGCAACCTCCGCCTCCTGGGTTCAAGCTGTTCTCCTGCCTCGGTCTGCCAAGTAGCTGGGATTACAGGCACACGCCACTATGCCTGGCTAATTTTTTGTATTTTTAGTGGAGACTGGGTTTCACCATGTTGGCCAGGCTGGTCTCGAACTCCTGACCTCAGGTAATCCACCCACCTCGGCCTCCCAAAGTGCTGGGATTACAGATGTGAGCCACTGCGCCCGGCCAGGACTTCTTTATATATTGGTATTATTGCTTATTCTTACCAAGTATGCCATACATTTTCATTGCTTTTCCCTCAGTGTGGAATGCGTCTCTACTTTTTGAAATTCTGTTTAATCACCAACCGTAGATTAAATGCCATCTTCTTTTGAAGTCCTCTTCAATTGGAATTAATACCTACCTTTTCGGCTCTTACATTGTATTTTTTGTATGTTTCATTTATATTCTTCCTTGTATTATAATATTCCTATCTTGTTCCTACATGGATATTTCTTTTTTTGTATTTTAAAGATTCACAAATTATTTAACTCATTACAATGATAATCACCAGCAAGTAGTCTTTAAGAAATATTAACATTAAGCTTTTTCTTTCAAAGAAAATGCCAGGAACTTACCAAATCATAAATAAAATGTTTTATCTAATGAATTTTTTGTTAGTATAATTCTAAGCAATCTCTTTGTTATGATTTTGCCCCTTTTAGGCTGGATCAGTGCATGTAAGAATTCGACGAGATGCCAATGAACAAATGGTTCTTGCTCATGTGACCAACAGGCTGTACACTCTAGTGTCTACTCTAACTGTTCAAATTTTCAAGGATGACTGGATTAGGCCTGCCTTATTGTCTGGGCCTGTTGCAGCCAATGTCCTAAACTTTTCAGATCATCACGTAATCCCAATGCCTCTTTTAAAGGGTACTGATGATTTGAACCCAGTTACATCAACTCCAGCTAAACCTAGTAGTCCACCTCCAGAATTTTCATTTAACACTCCTGGGAAAAATGTGAACCCAGTTATTCTTCTAAACACACAAACAAGGCCTTATGGTTTTGGTCTCAATCATGGACACACACCTTACAGCAGCATGCTTAATCAAGGACTTGGAGTTCCAGGAATTGGAGCAACTCAAGGATTGAGGACTGGTTTTACAAATATACCAAGTAGATATGGAACTAATAATAGAATTGGACAACCAAGACCATGATAGACTCTAACTTATTTTTATAAGGAATATTGACTCCTTGGCTTCCAATTTATTTAGTAATCCAACTTTGCATTGACTGTTTAATCATTTACTCTAAATGTTAGATAATAGTAGTCTTGTTCACATTTCATGAAACCTATGAAACTATATTTTTGTAAAATGTATTTGTGACAGTGAAATCCTCGTAAATGTTAAAGGCTTTAAATAGGCTTCCTTTAGAAAATGTGTTTCTTTAAATTTGGATTTTGGTATCTTTGGTTTTGTAGTTGACTGCAGTGTGATGTGACCTTACCTTTATAAGAGCCACTTGATGGAGTAGATCTGTCACATTACTAAGATACGATATTTCTTTTTTTTTCCGAGACGGAGTCTTGCTCTGCCACTGTGCCCGGCCAATACATTATTATTAACTTAAGGCTGTACTTTATTAAGGCTTCCTTAGTTTTTGTTTTGTTTTGTTTTTTGAGATGGAGTCTCACTCTGTCGCCCAGGCTGGAATGCAGTGGCATGATCTCAGCTCACTGCAACCTCTGCCTCCTGAGTTCAAATGATTCTCCTGCCTCAGCCTCCCGAGTAGCTGGGATTACAGGCACCTGCCACCACGCCCAGCTAATTTTTGTATTTTTAGTAAAGACGGGGGATTTCACCATGTTGGCCAGGCTGGTCTTGAACTCCTGACCTCATGATCCACCCACCTTAGCCTCCCAAAGTGCTGGGATTAGGTGTGAGCCACCGCACCTGGCCGATATTTTCTTTAATGAAATTTATAAATATGCTTCTTGAATAATACACATTTTGGGAAAGGGAAAAATGTCTGTTCAAAAAGTAAAAGTCTCTTTTATAGCTTTTCCAAACTTAATTGCTAAATTTTTCTTTGAGGTTCTCCTGAATTATGTCTTACAAACTAAAAGCAAAAATTTTTAGCAGAAATTTTGGAATACATTCTATCTAGCACAATTTGAATTTTTAATTATCAAGATTTTTGTTAAAGTTTCTCTCCTTTAAAAATTTTAGTACATTTGTAAATAGTCCATGGTTCTCAGTGTTTTATTTTGATTAAGTGACTACCCAACTTTTGGTGATATGCAGTGAAAGAATCCCAATTTTCTATGTTACATTTAATCAAATACTGACATAATGAATTTATCTTTCCTGACACATTTTCATTCATTGGCTTTTTAATTTCTTATTTTATTAACAAAATATATCAGATATATTACCAAAACACATGGAGTTCCATACATAATATGGAATTTGATGTCTTTTCAAGTTGCACAAAGAATTTGAGCATATATAATTTTACCAAAGCATAATGGACCTTAGATTATAGAATACAGCATTGTTAGGTCTGCAGTGGGCAGTTTCTTTTTGTTTTGCTTTGTCAAAAATGGGAAATTGTTAACTGTGATGAAATGTGAGAATTACATAGATTATGTTATTTTTTAGTTGTTTTCCAAATGCAGAGTTTAAGGACTTTCTAACATGGCTAGTATTACTTCCAAAAAGTATAACAAGCAGCAGTCACACATGACCTAGGAGGGTTTTTTATTGTTTTATTTTATTATGCATTCCATAACAGTTTTAAAATGGGATTTTGAGAATGGACTTAACTTTCCTGGAATCCAATGCTCCTGGAGATTTATGACTTTCCCAGCCATCAGCCAGCTATCTAGAGAAGATTTTTGTTTTTCTTTTGCAACAGTTTCTTCAGTCAACTCATTCACTTTCAAATAGGAGCAGCACTTTGAAATCCTTTTTCTTCACTGTGGATTAAAAACATCCAAGAAGCCATCTCTGTCAAGCAGAATTGTCATCTGTGGTAATAAGTGACCATGTCCTAAATACCTTTTTCTTAGTGAGGAGTTGGTCATTGTCTTTGGCATCTGCAACCCCTGTTCAGGCATGTGACCTGCTAAAGAAATACAGCCTACACTACCTTGACTACTGGGGAAAATGATACTTCGTAAAATGTAATAAGGCAACCTGTTCCTTGGCCTTTATCTTATGTTTTCCAACTATTACTGTATCTGTTATTGGTCTACTATTACAGGATGATTCTTCTTCCTCCATTGATCTCAACTAAATATGAATTAGGGTCATGCATGAAATCTGAACTGCCGTGTCCTGAGTTATGGTTAAGAGGTATGTGCTGCCACCCCATGCATGTCTTCCCCATCCCCATAGGATTTTAAAGTGTTCAGGTACCAAACACAGTTCTGTGTGAGGTTTTATGCCTACTTCCTCAACACCAATTCAGAGGCAACACCTGTGCATCTGTCCCACCAAAGGTGCTTTAATACCTACCTTCACTATTTGAGAAAGGACACTCACAGTTGCCTGTGGGTTATGAAAGAATTGGCCCTACGTCCTGCATGTAAGATGTTACAGGGGACATTGGGCCAGGCATTATTATATAGAGAAGTCTTATTTGCCAAGCTCTGACTAACTTCTGGATATGAAAATAAGGAACTTGCCCAGCATAGGCCTATAGGCAGCAGCCTTACTAGTAAATCTTGCCACAGAATCACTTGAAGCTAGACAGAGAAAGAAGTTCAATTTAAATATTTGTCCCATTGTTTGTGATTAGGATGTAAGCTTTGTGGAATGTAATTAACCCTGCTTTACGAAGTCACCATATTATAATAGGAAAAACACTGCCTAGGAGGCAAGAGATCTGAATTCCAGTTCTGATGCTGCCACTGTGTAAGGAAGTAGTTTTATAACCCATGGGCAAATCATCTGAGCTTTCTCATCTGTAAAGTTAGGGAGAGGAATTAATTAGTTGATCTGTAAAATAATCAGCTTCAAAACGTTATGGCTAAATCTGTAGAATGTATGCCCAATTGCTAAACGGATGTTGTGCCCAGAATTTTATCTAGTGACTACCTCAACATACAGGCCAAGCGTTACCTACACCAACACCCAAGCCATTAATTTGAGGTGCCATGAGAATAGGTGAACCACAGCCTAACACCATTTAGGTTTTTGTGTTTTTTTCAGGCTTGCCTCTACTTAAATATATTTAGATGAGAGAGTTCTCTTAGACTTCTTTCTTTGTAAGGAAGGGTTATTTGGGGAAGTGTTGGAAAAAAGATTAGGGCAGGGTACCCTTAGTTTATATAGGGTACAAAAGAATGGGAAACATCTTCCCTTTCTTCTTTAATCTCTGAAGTCATGTTTGGAATTACATATAATGTAGCAGGTACTGGAGAGGACCTGAATTTCAAGCTTCTGATTTAGCTGTTTGTAAACTTCCAAGTTTTGCTTGACTAAAGAATGCTGATCTTTTTTGGGAGTCTGATCTCCTTCTAATATCAGAAAGTGCTTTTTATATTCCAGATTGCTTGAATTAAACTGTTTGGATTAAAGAACATATATGGAGTTTCCTCTCTGGTTTTAAATAATCTTTCTTTATTCAGTAGCTATTAATAATTTATCTCATATTCAGCGAATATTTATTGAGAATATTGTTGAGAATCTCTTACATGCCAGGCACTATACTAAGTTAATATGCATTCAGTATACCAGTTGGTGTGACCCAGACCAAAGGTAACACAAAGATGAATGAGAATTCCTTCAAGGCGCCGATAATCCTAGTAGGAGAGCTAAGACACAAAACTGTTGCATGTTTTTAATCATCAAATTAAACTTCTTTCCACGTCCTTATCTTCTTTGGCATCCTTTTGCAAGATTTTTTTTAACTACCAGGCTTAAAATAATGAGGTCCCAGAGCACTTACTGGCTTCGAGTACACTTTATTTAAGCAGTTACTAGTTTAAAAGCACCTGTAATAACACTGAGATCATCATCATCAAATTGCCACCCAACAAGCCTAGCTTCTTGCAGAAAAGTTAACTTGGATAACACTTGGCTAAGTTTTCTGACTAATGCTGGATCAGGTAGAAATTCTTTAGTACTAAAGTCAAAAAACACTAATTGCTTAAGATTCTCAAATACACCCATGAAGGCAAGCCATCCATCACTGCTCACACGATTTCCCGCCAAATTCAACTGCTGGAAGTTTTTCAGAGGGTTCTTTCCAAAAAATGCACCTGGGTAAAGAAATAAGTATATTAGTTGGAAGAAAAATTTTTTTTAAAAAAAAAGAGAAATAGGTTCTACATTTATTTTACATACTTTTTTTTCACTCTGAAATGGCCATGTTTGAACCAGTGCTTTGCCTCAGAAAGAAATTATTAATATAATTCTCTATAGCTAGGGCAGTGATTGTGAATATGGTCTATTATATTTTCCTAGAGTATAAGGGAATCTGATAAATAGTGATTCGTAGTGAGGTAGCAACAATATGTAAATGAATTACTTTTTTTTCCCCTTTTCCTTACTCCTAGGAAATGGAAGGTTGCTTTAATTAAATATTCAGTACTTGTTTTCAAAACTGGAGTCAATCTTTGGCAATATTAAGTCGTTTCCTCTTCTGAAAAAGTAAACACCACCTAACTGTTGTTTCTATGGGTATGTTCCTAACTGTAAACTTGAGTAAGTGAGCCTCCTTCAGTATCTAAAGATTTGGGTGTTTTTGTTTACCTGTTTATGTATAACCCTCCCGAGCCTCTTCAGGAAGTTCCTCCATTCCTTACAGAATAGGGCACCTAAAGTATTTCCTACATAGGGTAGGTGGATATCCTGTCTTTCTGATACACAAAGAATGCACACACACACACATACATACAAAGGATGTGTGTGTGTGTGTGTGTGTGTGTGTGTGTGTGTGTATACATACACAAATAGTTTAGTGTTCATTCTTTATCCCATGTTACCAGTTTAGGTGGTACTGGAACCCAAGTGAGTCTTGCAATAAGAAAAAATACCTTTCTTTCAGGTTATTTACCATCATACAGATTGGCCAGTATACAACATTAGGATTTCACAAAACTAGCTCTGTGTTAATTACACATATTAAATTGTGCAAAGCGTTAGCCCTACCCACCTACCTGGCCCTTTCTGGATGACTAAGTTCACCTTGAAGTACAGAGTGGACAGACAGGCAGACTGGACATGGGAACTCTTACTTACATGTTTATACTCCAGAGTATCACACACAAAATGCAGAAGATGTATGCCTGGTTTATCAATCCACATTACTCGGCTCATCCGAGCTCATCTTAGTCTTAGTGTACCTCACCCAACTTTGGAGGGTTAATTTGTTGTATATTAAACTTGTGTTTCTTGGGAGATGTGTAATATTAGATAATGTTCCAGAAACTGACCCTTATGGAAATGAAGGTCCATGATTCAGTTTGGATTCCAAGTAGGAAAAGAGGTTTTAAAAGTTCCTTTCCATTGTCTCAGTGAGAAGACCACTAAAGAGTTCAAGTTAAAGAAGGAAAGATTCGGTGCTGTACAACCTTAAGGTTAGCAAGCAAAGACTAAAAGGTATCTGCTACCAGTAATGAGGGCTTAATGACAGAAATGGACAGTCTTGTCCGACCAGCTTACGTGGGTGAGGTCAACCTAGTTATGCACTGAAACTATACCCTTACCCACTTTCAGTAAAGGTGTTTACCAGCTCCGTAGTGAGAGGAGATCTGTGAATTTGGTGTCTGATGTCACTGCATGGCCTTGTGTAGTTTGTTCAGTGCAACTAAGTACATTCTAGAGTGTGTCCTTAGTCAATGTCAGCCAATGCTTTTATCACCATCATAAGGTCTTGAGTTTCGAAAGGTCTTCAGGTTCTTCTTTACAGACACCTAAAGTGATTGGCCCTGCCTGACCGTGGTCAAGATGCTAGCGGCTAAAGTGGGCAAAGCCAGGTAAGGAGATGATTCACAGGGTTCTGCCTTCATGTCTCTTACCCATGGTCAGTGTCACTGACACCATCTTTGGGCCTTCTTTGCCACTTTTATTAATTTGAAAAGTGAGACAGAGGCCGGGTGCGGTGGCTCATGCCTATAATCCCAGCACTTTGGGAGGCCAAGGCGGGCAGATCACCTGAGGTCAGGAGTTTGAGACCAGCCTGACCAACATGGAGAAACCCCGTCTCTAGTAAAAATACAGAATTAGCCAGGCGTGGTGGTGCATGCCTGTAATCCCAGCTATTCGGGAGGCTGAGGCAGGAGGATCACTTGAACCCAGGAGGCAGAGGTTGCGGTGAGCAGAGATCACACCATTGCACTCCAGCCTGGGTAACGAGTGAAACTCCATTTCAAAAAAAAAAAGAGAAGAAAAGTGAGACAGACTGCTAGTTGTTCCCAAAACTGTCTCTCCTTATTCCATAGTTAATAGAGTTTTATTTCGGCATATGGCCACTCATATCCCAACCTCCCTTGCTATTAGGTGTGGCTAAATTTTTGCCAAGGAAGTATAGGCAGAAGTGATGTGTGCAACTTCCATGTCACTTTTCCGCTTTTCCCCTCTTCTACTAGGTTGAAATGATCACAGGGCAGTGACCTAGCTATGGCCATAAAGTCAAAAATAACACTCTTAAGGAATAGAGGAGTAAAAAAAAAAAGTAGGGGTCTGGGCCTGAAAGACTGCACAGAGGAAAACCACCCCACCTGCCTGGACTGCTCATTTCTGGACTGTTACATGATAGAGAATCAAGTTCTGCCTTCTGTAAGCCATGGTATAGTTGGGTCTCTGTTATCACAGCGTAGCCTATGCCCAGCCCAAATAGTACCTAGGTCCTTACTTTCCCCTGCCTTCCACCTCCTCTGTTCCTTGGAGGATGGCTTTCTCCCTGCTCTCTCTTCCATCTCATGTTCATGTCCTTTCTGCCTTTGCCCCTTCTCCATATGCTTCCCAGCATGGCATGCACTCAGTCCAAATGCTGGTTGCCAGTTGTGTGTCTATTTAAGGCTCTTTCCCCAAAGATCAACTTTTTTTCTCCTTCTCAGCTAGCAGAACATATTTTCACCACCTAAAAGGAATTTAAGAAGAATTTAAAGCCCATTCCACCCTCACAGGGTGAGCAATTTATAGTGGTTATCTACTAAGGTATAAGGATCTTATCATCAATTTAAGAGAGTTTCTTAGATAATTATTGGAATGTGTGCTAGTGCAGGAACCAAGAACAAACAACATTTGTCATAAGCCAAGGGCATGCCTTTTGTTCATTTAATCTGCAGTGCTTATGTTATGAGGAGCAGACTAGATCCAAGAGAAACAGAATCCATGACATTTAGAGCCATAGGCTGTATGTGGGCTGTGGAGAGTGCAAATGGCTTGATTGGAATTCCAGGAAAAATCTCAGATGCCCTGGGTAGAAGGGTTCTGATTCTTGGGGGTTCCTGTATCCCAAACACAACTCTTCATTTGTGTTGTCCTGTAGTTCACCTGAACGAGTACCAGAGTTCTCACTGTTTATTCATTCAGCAACATCTTTAGTGCTACTATGTGCTGCGGATTATGCTGGGTGCTGGGGATATGTGTAAACGACAGACATGGTCCCTGTCTAAATGGGCTTACAAAATAGTGTGAAGACATGCATTATAAAGTAATTAGATGGGTGGTGGGTGCTATGGTAGGTCAGGGTACCCTGGGAGCACACAAAAGCAATAGGCTTTCCCACTCCACTTTGTTCCCAGAACACTTGCAATTGGGCTTATATGCTCCAGGAGGAAGACTGGAGGATTCTTAGGAGAAATGGAACTGCCCCCCGGGAAAAGGCCCTACAAAGAAGGGGCCATTTTGCTTGCCCAATCACCCCCTAGTGGAGTTAGCCTGTCAAAAATTCACCGCCTCCCTTAGACACACAGAACTCCCTATCAACTTGTGTCTCCCTCTAAAATGTGAAGAGGACAGTGCAGGATTATCAGACATTTGACAACAGCCTCCCACAAGGAAGACTGAGACTAAAAGCCAAAACAACTCCCAAAGAAATCAGGCACTGTAGAAAACAAGAAAAATCAAACTCCAAAGACCTAAGTTTTTCAGAGATCCTAAGTTTTTCAGTAGACTGCATCTACTCAGCAACAATAAGATGCTAAGAAAGAGCTTTTGGAAAATAAAATATGATAGCGGGATCTATACAGCAGAATGATTGGGCCCAGGATTTAACACAGAGCTTCTAGAACATGAATAGGGTCTGCGATGGCTTTTTTTTTTTCTTTTTTTGAGACAGGTTCTGGCTCTGTTGCCCAGGAGTGCAGTGGTGCAATCTCAGCTCACTGCAATCTGCCCCACTGGCTCAAGTAAGTGATCCTGCCAACTCAGCTTCCCGTATAGCTGGGATTATAAGTATGTGCACTACGCCCAGCTAATTTTTGTATTTTTAGTAGAGACAGGGTTTCACCATGTTGGCCAGGCTGGTTTTGAACTCCTGACCTCAAGTGATACACCCACCTTGGCCTCACGAAGTGCTGGGATTACAGGCATGAGCTCTCTTTGAGAACAGGCTGGATAGCAGAGTTCAGCTTCAAACATCCAAGTTGAAAGATACCATTTAACAAAGGGTTTTGTTAGAGCAGGTGAAATTGGTCAGGCATGGTGGCTCATGCCTGTAAGCCCAGCACTTTGGGAGGCTGAAGCAGGCAGATCACTTGAGGTCGGGAGTTTGAGACCAGCCTGGCCAACATGATGAAACCTCGTCTCTACTAAAAATACAAAAATTAGCTGGGCATAGTGCACACACTTATAATGGCACATACTTATAGTGGCGGCATGGACCGGTAATCCCAGCTACTGGGGAGGCTGAGGCAGGAGAATCACTTGAGATTCAGAGAAGCGAATAGAGAACAGAGAATCCCAGGAAGCGGAGGTTGCAGTGAGCCAAGATCGCACCACTGCACTGCAGCCTGGAACAAAACAAACAAAAAAACAGGTGAAATAGATACCTGAGCTAGCAATGATTTTTATGTTGTAGTCTCAGATTGCTGATGGGTAAGAAACAAAATTTTGGGAGTCAAGCAAAACATGGCAAAGCTTGGAGATCAAATGCAATCTCTGAGGAAGAACAGCAGATAGTCTAGACCAAGCTTTAAGGAAAACTAGAAACATTTAATATCTGGGTAGAGGAATCACCATTGAAAAGAAGACTGAGAAGTAGCCAAGGTGGCATGGAGGTCAAGAGAATGTTTTGAAAAGAAGGGAATGCTCAGTGTCAACTCCTGCGGAGGAATCAAATAAATTAAACACTTCTGAAAGTGTCTATTGAAATTCAGCCACATGGAGGGGTGTGGAGAGTCAGATGCAATGAGTAGAAAGTAGCAGATGGTCAGGAAATGGAGATGTCATAAGGGTACATAAAATTTGTTTTAGAGCTTTTACCTTGAAGGAGAGGAGAGATAGAATGATAACCAAAGGAGGAAGATAGGACTCAGGGAGAGTTTTATTTAAAATGGAAGAGATTTGAGCAACTTTAAAAACTGACAGGAGGGAGTCAGTAACAAGAGGCACAGTCAATAAAATGATGTCCCTGAACTGGAGTGAGGGTGAGGCTGGCATCTCAAGCACTGCTAAAGAGACTGCCCTTAGGTAGGAGAAGAGAAACCTATAAGCTCTAAGGAGAAGGAGAGAAAAAAATAACAGTCACATCCTCTGTGAAATAGGAGACGCTGAGTACTGATTGAGAAGAAAAAAGTGTGAAATAGTTTACATACAGTGTTGAATACAGAAACACAGTAAGATTGCCAGGAAATATTAAGAGAGATTGTGTTTATTCACTGTTTTTTGTTTGTTTGTTTGTTTTGTCTCCCAGGCCGGAGTGCAGTGGTGCCATCCTGACCTCAGGTGACCCACCCGCCTTGGCCTCTCAAACTGCTGGGATTACAAACGTGAGCCACTGGGCCCAGCCCCCGCTATTTTTTTTTTTTTTTTTTGAGGTAGAGTCTCACTCTCCCACCCAGGCTGGAGTTCAGTGGCGCGATCTTGGCTCACTGCAGCCTCCACCTTCTCGGTTCAAGAGAGTCTCCTGCCTCAGCCTCCCAAGTAGCTGGGATTACAGGCATGTGCCACCACACACAGCTAATTTTTTTCATACTACATTTTTTAATCCATTCATTATTTGATGGACATTTGAGTTGTTTCCACTTTTGAGCTACTAAACATGCTATTATAAACATTAATATACAAGTTTTTATGTGGATATTGGTTTTCATTTATCTTGAGTACCTAGGAAGAGAGTTGCTGGGTCATATGACAACTCTATGTTTAACATTTTGAACAACTTGCCAGAATGTTTTCCTCAGCAGCTGCATCATTTTACATTCTAACTACCAGCATATGAATTTCTCCGTATCCTTGCCAACAACACTTGTTATTGTATGTCTTTTAATAAAAAATAATAACCATCCCTAGTGGGTCTCAGGTGGTATCTCATTGTAGTTTTGGTTTACATTATTACCCTGATGGCTAATGATATTGATTATGTTTTCTGCTATTTATTTTGCGATTTACATATCTTCCTTGGTGAAATGTCTGTTCAGATTCTTGCCCATTTTACAAATTGGGTTATTTGCATTTTTTATCAGTGAGTTGTAAGAGTTTTTTTGTTTTGTTTTTTGACATGGAGTCTCACTCTGTCACCCAGGCTGGAGTGCAGTGGCGCAATCTCGGCTCACTGCAACCTCTGCCTCCAGGATTCAAGCAATTCTTCTGCCTCAGCCTCCAGAGTAGCTGGGATTACAGGTATGTGCCACCACGCCCGGCTAATTTTTTTGTATTTTTAGTAGAGATGGGATTTCACCATATTGGCCAGGCTGGTCTCGAACTCCTGACCTTGTGATCCACCTGCCTCAACCTCCCAAAGTGCTGGGATTACAGGTGTCAGCCACCACGCCCGGCCATAAGAGTTTTTTTATATATTCAAGATGGAAGTCCTTTATTAGATAATGTGATCTGCAATTTTTTTTTCACATTCTGTAGGTTGTATTTTCACTTTCTTTCTTTTTCTATTTTTTTTTGTGGGGGGGGGGTGGGGGACTGGGTGTCACTCTGTCACCCAAGCTGCAATGCAGTGGCATGATCACAGCTCACTGCAGCCTCAACTTCCTGAGCTCAAGCCATCCTCCCACCTCAGCCTCCCAGGTAGCTGGGACTACAGGCGTACGCTGCCACACCCAGCTAATTTTTTGGAGATTGAGTTTTGCCATGTTGCTCAGACTGGGCTCGGACTCCTGGGCTCAAGCAATCTGCCCACTTCGGCCTCCCAGAGTGCTGGGATTACAGGCGTGAGCCACCACACCCAGCCTTAGTTTTGACCAAATGTCTTTTTTTCTGTTGCAGGAACTCATCCAGGATAGGACATTACATTTCATTGTCATGTCTCTTTAGGTTCCTCATGCTTATGACGATTTCTCACAATCACCTTGTTTTTTATTTCCTTGACAGTTTCAAGGAATACTGGTCAGTTTTGTGTAGAAGTCCCTCAGTTAGGATTGTTTGATGTTTTTCTCATCATTAGATGGGGGATATGGATCTTTGGGGAGGAATATCATAGAGGTAAAGTACTATTTTCGTCATGTCATATCTAGGTACATACTATCAACATGAATCACCACTGTTAATGTTGACCTTGTTCACCTGACCAAGGTAGTGTCAACAGCTTTCTCCACTGTAAAGTTACTCTTTTTTGCTGCCTTTTGCTGCATGCTACAAGTTTTGATATACAGCGTTTTCTTACCATTCACTTCTAAATATTTTCGTTGAAATTTGTCAGTATGAACTTGTATTTATCTCCCAAATTTTGCAGTTTTTCCCCAGTATCCTAAGTGTAGTTACAAAATTTTAAAAAGGGAAATTTAAGGACAATCCAGGCCTGGGGTTTTGTCAGGAAAGTACACCCCATCTACTATATTTCATTTCATACCTCTCATTCCACATCTCATGTTCTGCCTGCATCTCATTAGGTAGTCTTTCTTTAATTAGAGACTCCATCTCTCATTACACTCTTCATTTCACCATTGCATCTATCACACACATCCATCACTCAAAGTCATTGCCTGAATTGACTCATGCTACTGTGGGCCATGAGAATTTCAGCTATTAAAGACAAGAATGTTTGCAGGGATGGAAGATGGAGTTGAAACTAGGTAGGAAGGCAAGTCAAAATAGAAAGGGCCTGAAAAATAGGTAGAAGGTAGCGGGATCGACGGACTGGAAGTCCCAGTGAAGTAAAAGAACTGGTGATTAGGAGTAGATAGAAATACAGGAGGTTGTGGTTTGAGAATGGGATATCTGCATTTATTATTTTGCAGGTAGAACAATTTTAAGTGGCTTGTCATAATCTAGTCATTGCATGCTCATAGAATGAATGGATGAAGGAGAGTGGAAGGGAAGGTCGTTGAAGAGGAAGGTCCATTAGCGGAGCATAGTGGCCTCTAGTCCCAGCTACTTGGGTAGTTGAGGAAGGAGGATCCCTTGAGCCCAGAAGTTCAAGGTTAGTGAGCTGTGATCACATCCCTGCACTCCAGCCTGGGCAACAGGGAGACCCTGTCTCAAAGAGAAAGAGAGGGGTGGGGGAGGGAGGAAGGAAGGAAGGAAGGAAGGAAGGAAGGAAGGAAGGAAGGAAGGAAGGAAGGAAGGAAGGGAGGGAGGGAAAGGAAGAAGGAAGGGAGGGAGGGAAGGAGGGGAGGGGACATACTGCTTTCACTGTATCCCATAGGTTTCAGTATGTTGTGTTTCCATTTTCATTTGTCTTAAGAAATTTTAAATATATATATATATATATATATATATATATTTTTTTTTTTTTTTTTTTAATTGTAGAGACGACATGTTACCATATTGCCCAGGCTGGTTTCAAACTTCTGGGCTCAAGCAGTCCTCCCACCTTGGCCTCTCAAAGTGCTGGGATTATAGTCATCAGCTACCACACCCAGCCTATTTCAAGAAATTTTTCAGTTTCCTTCTGAATTTCTTCATTGGCACACTTGTCATTCCAGAGCATGTTGTTTAATTTCCATATGTTTGTATAGTTTCCAAAGTTCCTCTGGTTATTGGTTTCTAGTTTTATTCTATTCTATTATGGTCAGAGAAGATACTTGAATCAGATTTCAATTTTGGGGGATTTTTTAAGACTTATTTTGTGGCCTAACATGTGGTCTATCCTTGAGAATAATCCATGTGCTGAGGAGAAGAATGTGTATTCTGCAGCTGTTGGATGAAATGCTCTATAAATATAGGTCCATTTGGTGTATAGTGCAGATTAAGTCTGATGTTTCTTTGTTGATTCTCTGTCTGGGAGATCTGTCCAATGCTGTAAATGGGGTGTCGAGTCTCCAGCTATTGTTGTATTGGGTTCTATCTCTCTCTTTAGCTCTAACAATATTTGCTTTATATATCTAGGTTCTCCAGTGTTGGGGACATATATATGTGTGTGTATATATGGGAAGATGAAGAAGCTCTGGAGATGGATGTTGTGATAGTGGCACAATAATATGAATGTACTTAATGCCACAAAGCTTTTACACTTAAAAACAGTTTAAATAGGGCCGGGTGCGGTGGCTCAAGCCTTTAATCCCAGCACTTTGGGAGGCCAGGGCAGGCGGATCACGAGGTCAAGAGTTCAAGACCATTCTGGCTAACACGGTGAAACTCCATCTCTACTAAAAATACAAAAAAAAAAATTAGGCGTGGTGGCTGGCGCCTGTGGTCCCAGCTCCTCGGGAGGCTGAGGCAGGAGAATGGCATGAACTAGGGAGGTGGAGTGTGCAGTGAGCTAAGATTGCGCAACTGCACTCCAGCCTGGGCGACAGAGCAAGACTCTGTCTAAAAAAAAAACAAAAAACAAAGAACAAAAACAGTTTAATAAATTGTACGTTACGTAAACTAAACACATTTTAGACAATCTGTAAGAGAAATGAAGGCAATCGAGGCTGTTTTCACAAGTCCTTGGCTTTAGTATGATAGCTTCCAAGTTGAACCTGATGAGCCTGACCTCCTTGTATTAATGTTTCCATACGCTGGATTGGAATAACTTGTGCAACCAGTGGGATATGTCAGAAGTGACCAGAAATGAGTGGGCTGCCATGTTGTGAGGACACTCACAGCCTGTGAAGAGGTCTAATGATGAGGAAGTGAGGCCTCCAGCCAACAGCCAGTGTTAACTTGCCAACCATGTGAGAAGCTACCTTGGAAGGAGATCCTCCAGCAGCCCCTCTCATGAGAGAGGTCAAGCCAGAGCTAACCTGCTAAACTCCTAAATTCCTGAACCACAGAAACTGTGAGATAATGGTTATTGTTTTAAGCCATTATGTTTTGAGGCCATATGTTATACAGGAATTGAAAACTAATACAGATAGTATGAAGGCTTCTTTCATCAACTGCCTGAGGTTGGTGGTGTCTTCAGTCATTTATATAGATCTATTTGTTTCTGGATAATATTACAGCTATTTAAAGATATTTTGTGGCTCTATTTAGATACAGCTACATTCGCCTTTATATGTTTTGAATACCCAGTAAGTAACTTGAAAATATTTCCTGATATTGGAGGGAGGGGCATTGCTGAATTTCAGAAAGTTAAGGCTAGTAAGAGCTATGACTAATATAATACATCTTGTTGGATACTGTGAATGCTTTTCATTTAATTCTGTAGGTAAAGGAAATAGAATCTGAAGGAAGGCCAGTGTTTTAAGTCTTCTTACTCTAACGTGAATGAATTCATTAGACATATTTATATTTTAAAAAAAAGAGGAAGCAAAATAAAATAAGGGGGCAAAATAAGCAAAGCCAACTTAAGAATTTTTTAAGGGCCAAATCCAGTTATCTTGGCTCTGTATGTGTGTACCTACCTAAAATTCTAATCTCTGTATCTGTGAGTCTCCAGTTTTTCAACCCAAGCTTGACGAGTTGTGGGACCTCCTCCAAATGTTTCAACAGGCTGCTCAGGCTGCCTTGCACGTCACAGCCCCAGGGCAGCATCAGTGCGGTGAGCTGTTCTAGCACGTTCATCCTGTCGACTGGAAGAAACAAAGAGCAGTTCAGGGACTGGATGGTCTCAAAACTGAGGAAGAACAAAGGGGTGTTAGGGGAGGAATGATCTTTATGTTTGGTGGCTCTGCAGCCTACTCAATCTGTAATGAGAATCTACTTAATTTTTGGTTTTTTTTTGGAAAGTATTCAAGCATATACAAACATTATGCAGAAGAATATAATGAAACTATATATACTAATAAGACACCTTCAAAAACATTAAATCATGGGCAATCTTGCTTAATCCTGACCTAATTCCTCCTGTATTATTCTAAAGCAAATCATGGACAATATGAATCAGTTCTTTCCTTTTTTTTCTTTTAACCATAATCACATATCACTATCACACCTAAAAAATCATATCACCAATTCCTTAAGCAAATTTGTCTTGCACATCGGCTACTCTTGACAGTTGCCTCTTCAAAGGAGGAAAGCAGGTGGGATACCGCCTCAAAGTGCAGTGAGCATATGTAAACTGGTGACTTAAAAGACATGGGCCTGTGTTCCTTAAGGGCAGTTTAAGAAAGGCCTAAATGATTTTCCTAAGGAGGGTGCATCTAGTAAGGCACACATGGGTATAAAAGACCTCAGGACCCAGGCTATGTATTTCGACTACCCAGTATACATATTCAAGTATCTAATTTTGGCTGAATTGTCATTCTTACTCAGTTCATGAAGAGCTTCATTTCCATCTTTTTCCAGGTAATTTTCTGATAAATCAAGAATGCTCAGTTTGACCAAATTGTGAAGATTCTGAGCTGGGGAAAAAAAGTAATCCAAAATAAAAAGATTTTCAGGTAAATATAAATGTATTTTGAAGTATCCTTAGAATAATTCTGAGTTTTATCTTCTCTGCTAATGGTAGTGCAAACCATAACTTGCCTTGGTTATTTTAATTATTTCCAAAGGCTCTGGTGTAGGTGTAACCCCCAAATCCCATGGTTATGACCAAATGGGCAAATAGTCATTGGTCCTAGGTTCTGATTAATGAATTCCAGGTCACGTAGAACCTAAAGCAGCATGGGATGTAGTTGTTATGTCATCATGGAAAAATCACTTGGTCTCTCTAAGCCTCAATGTCTTCCTCTATAGAATGAGGTAGTTGGACCAGATAAAATGTAAAGTTGCTTCAATTATAAAATGCCGTTAATCATGCAGGAGAAACAGGAACAACAACAACAACAAAAATGAAATGAGCTGGTTTTGTGTACCTCAACTTAGATGATTTTATTGACATAATAGTTGAGATATTAATAATAAAAACATAGTAAAAAATGGATGAGAAAAAAAACAAATAGCAAAATGGCAGATTCAAATTTATCCATATCAACAATTACATTAAATCTTAATGGACTAAACACTCCAATTAAAAGGCAGAGATAATCAGATATTCAGAACTTTTTTTAAAGCAAGACCCAGTTTTATGCTGTGTACAAAAGACGTGTTTGAATGACAAAGACACAAATATGTTGAGGTAATGGAAAACTATTTTGCATGCAAACATTAATTATATAATAGTACCAGTCTAGCTAAGAATTGCTTAGTGCTTTTCTTCACATATTATCACTCTTGCTTAATCTAGCTGAAGTTTTTTCTGTCAGGGCTAGAAAAATCTCCTTTTTAAAAAAATCAGACAAGTTTTTCATGAATATGTACTCTTGTTATAATATTGGCTATTATTATTTTTAATCAATCATATGAGCCCTTTTCTTAAAGTATCTTCTGGGTTTTGTGCTCTACAATAAAAAACCTGCTGAACTTCTCTTTAAAAGAGTACGTTTGCTATTTGCAGTTCTAAGCCTGTCTCTCCCCATCAGTAAGTAGAGAAATAAAGGCATGTGCTCATTGTTCTCATATTCCCAGTACTTATCCAGCCTTTTTCAACTGTGGGTTTCTCTAGCTGTAACTTTATATTAGTATACAAATGGCTTCCTTAGTTATCTTTAGAGACTCCCAGCAGTTATATAGTTTAACTTTAAAAAGATTATACCACTGTTTTCCAAAATCTAAATTTTAAAATATGTCTGAATTACACATGTATAGTTTATCCAGAAATATGCAGTTAGTTTCCCCGTAGTTGATATGCATCCCTTTGGGAACTCAGAAGGCTCAATTATCATATCATGCACATTAACTTCATCTTAACAGGGCAATGGGTAGGAATTAGAAGCCTGAGATCATTTAAGAAAATCTTTATCTCTCACTTCTCAATCATTTATCCATTCATTTAAATGTTTATTAGGCAGTAAATTATATGACCGGTTGTGTGGCAAGTTTCAAGCACCTATTTCTTATTTTCTTCCTTTTCACTTTCTCTAAAAATTACATCTTCAATTATTCTGAAATTCTCCCCTATTATCCATCAATAGTTGATTTAATTCTAATATGGAGAAAAATCATTAAAAACAATCTGCTTATTATCGAGAAGTTTTTATTTTCCAGTTTTCCTTAAAATTAAATTTCCATTTGAGACATTTAGTGTGAATTAGTATAATAGTATCACATGTTCTGTTATACTGTCCTCATTCAGTTAATGGAAGCAACAGTTACCTAGGATTTTCACTGCATTTGCAGACAAGCAGCAGGAGACTAATTGAATTTCTTCAAGGTCACAGGGTTCACTTGACAGAGACTTGACTATGTAATCCATTCCCTCTCCAATGTCAGACAAGTGGGTCAAATGAAATAAACACATCTTCTTCAGGTTTTTCAGGCCTTCAGCTGAAAAATGATAGAAAGGAATGCATTAGGATACCAAGTTAATTCGATTTAAGCATAGATTAATGAACTGAAAAGAAAGCAAAGAATAATTGTGCAGAGACCTTGCCATGTTCTTCCTGCAGCGACTTTAAGTTACAAAGAATCAACGAGAGCTTTTTTTCTTTCAATTCTCACTTTCCAGTCTCTTGGACCACACAAAAAATCACTTATATGGAGGTTATTCTCTTAGTAGCATGAGAAACACTGTAGTAAATTTGTAGTCTTTTTAATGGGCATCAATGTATACTCTTACCGTAATTCTTTACATGAATGAAGTCTTCTAGAGCACTCTCCTTTCAATCTTCTCAAAAATCTTAAACAGCGGGGGGGCTGAGTTCAGGGAGGTAGATGAGGACTTGGCTCCTTGGAGTGCTTCTAGTGCAACTGTCTACAGCCTCAAAAGCCTTGCCTGGACTCATGATATGGGGCCTGCCTGAAGCTTTAGAATGAAGACCACATCCACTGCAGCATGTTTAACCAGAAGAAAGATTTACCTTATATCAACAGTATAATTGGAAACATTCTAAAATATCCCCCGTTCTTAAGTCTAAAGCTAATGTGCAGTTTAGGATTGGTTAGGCCTCACTTTGTGTCATTAAAATACTGTCTTATCTTGATGGTACTGTAGCCTACGGGAAAGAAATATATGATTTTAATGACCAGGCATGGTGGCTCACACCTGTAATCCCAGCACTATGGGAGGCAGTGATAGGCGAATCACCTGAGGTCAGGAGTTCAAGACCAGCCTGTCCAACATGGCGGAACCCCATCTCTACTAAAAATACAAAAATTAGCTGGGCGTGATGGTGCACACCTGTAATCTCAGCTACTTCGGAGGTTGAGGCATTAGAATCGCTTGAACCCAGGAGGCAGAGGTTGCAGTGAGCCAACATCTCACCACTGCACTCCAGCCTGGGCGACAGAGCGAGACTCCCATCTCAAAGAAAAGAAAAGAAAAGAAATAAAATATATGATTCTAATAATATCAGTCTTGCAGAGCTTTCGGGAAGGTTGCAGATAATGTACGTTAACATATTTAATGTGGTGCCTGGCACATAGTAAGTGCTCCATAAATGTTCATTGTTGTCATGGGAGTATATACCGGTTAAAGGTTGTGAGCATGAGCTTTGCAGTCAGTTCCTGGATCCCCTACTTAATAATTATAAACTTGGGCAAGTTATTCAATCTTTTAGCTGAAGCGTTAGGGATCATTATATCTATGTACTAGGACTGTTGTGGGGATTCAATGGAATGAGGTATATAAAACTGCCGAGGCTAGTGTCTAATCTATAGCAGAGTAACTCTTTAATAAAGAGTAAATTATTACTGATATAATTAGACTGGTTTAGTCAAGTTCACATTTTGATTCCTTAATAGCAGAAGCAGGCTATCCTAGAGAGGTACTTTTTGACCTCTTTCTACCAGTTGGTAAGATCTTGAGCAAGTCAATAAGCTATTTTAGGTTCTAGTGGAGTTTTCTGTGAAATGAATGAGTTGAATTAGATGCTCTCAATCCCCTTCCAGCTCTGATTTTCTGTGTAATTTATACACATGCAATAAATGTTTATTGAACACTGAATTAATTTGATTATTCTCACGTAGGACATATAAGGAAAAGAAGTCAGCCATGTTTTGCTTTTGTTTTTGTTTTTGTTTCAAGATGGAGTCTATCTCTGTCACCGAGGCTGGAGTGCAGTGGAGCAATCTCGGCTCACTACAACCTCCTCCTCCTGAGTTCAAGTGATTATCCTTCCTCAGCCTCCCAAGTAGCTGGCATTACAGGTGCATACCACCATGCCCAGCTAATTTTTGTATTTTTAGTAGAGACAGGGTTTCACCATGTTGGCCAGGCTGGTCTCGAACTCCTGAACTCAGGTGATCCATCTGCCTCGGCCTCCCAGAGTGCTGGAATTACAGGTGTGATCCACCATGCCCAGGCTTCAGCCATGTTTGGCTTATAGGCTAGAGTTGTCTTTCGGCAGGAAGCAGAATAAGAAAGAACAAGATGAAGGGAAGAGAGGAGTATTTTAGTGAGGACTCAAGTAGGGAAAAAAAGAGCCAAAAAAAAAAAAAAAAAAAATCCAACACACGAGAAAACAGGGACATTCAAGGAAAGCAGCTTTAACAGGAATCCTCCCTGGCCTGCAGGGCCTGGTTCCCTGTGGTAAGCCATGTGTTCTGCTTGTGTTCCTGAAGTTTCCTTTTCCTTTTCATTTTTTTGATTGGGGAAACACAACCTGCAGTGTAGAATGAAAGCATGCTTCCCCCAAAGTTTTCTTGATTCACATTGTTTCCTGTGTCCTATTTCATTTATGAATTTTTTTAACTATGAAACCATAGTATAAACTTTAAAATATTGTTTCTATGCAACTATGAAACTATACTATAAACTTTAAAATATTGTTTCTATGCATTAAATAAAAACATAGCCAATGAGCCAGGGAGACGGAAGTTAAAAACACGTCAGGGGCTCTCTTCCCAAAAGGGTTACCATCTGGTGTTGTACAATTTGAATAAAATGATGCTGAAGGATTTTAATGGCAGTAGGGAAAATGTCTGGGGAAACCAATGTAGCCACAAGTACATAAAAACATCCTTGCCTTGTGCAGACACAGCCAATGTCAGAGCCTGAAGTTAACTCCTCTTATTATCAAACTTACATTGATACAAATATGAGAACAGAAATCTGACCTAGTTTTATAGCATCTTCTTCATTCATCTTTATGTTATCCATTATGAGCTTTGTAAGGTTCTTCAAGTTACCCAAGCTGTCAGTCAGACCACCTGTCAAAAGAAAAAAGATTGGACTCTTTCAGCAGATATTTGCTATTTACTATGTCATTTACTATTACTGTCATTTTTGTTACCAATCAAAAGATTTTAATGATCATCATGAGCCAAAAATGCTCATGAAATAGACATAAAAATATACTTTTTATAAGAGATGGGCATTATACTTCACTGTAAGCATGTTCTGCAAATAATAGACTAGATACCAATTTCCCAGATAACAGGGAAAAAAATTTCCTTTTTTTTTTTTTTTTTTTTTTTTTGAGACAGAGTCTTGCTCTGTCGCCCAGGCTAGAGTGCAGTGGCGCAATCTCAGCTCACTGCCAGCTCCACCTCCCGGGTTCACACCATTCTCCTGCCTCAGCCTCCCAAGTAGCTGGGACTACAGGCACCTGCCACCACGCCCGGCTAATTTTTTTTGTATTTTTAGTAGAGACGGGGTTTCACCATGTTAGCCAGGATGGTCTCAATCTCCTGACCTCGTGATCCGCCTGCCTCGGCCTCCCGAAGTGCTGGGATTACAGGCGTGAGCCACTGCGCCTGGCCGATAACAGGGAAATTTCTAAACACTTGGAAATTAAACAACACATTTTTAAATAATCATGCATTAAAGAAGAAGTCTCATGGAAACTTTGATAATATTTTGAAAAATATAAAAATAAAAACAAAACTTCAAAATCTGCAGCTCTCTCCTCACAAAGGGGTGAAAAGAAAAAAAAATCTGCAGCTAACACAGTGCTTACAGGGACATTTACAGTATTGCATACTTATATTAGAAATGAGGAAAGGCCTCAAATCAACAACCTAGGCATACTACTTAAGAAATTACAGAAAAGAGAGCAAAATAAATGAAAGAAGAAAGAAAATAATAAAGATAAGGGTGCAAATCAAAGTTATTATGCCTTTATTATACAAATTAAAAACAGAGGCAAGGTCTCACTATGTTGCCCAGGCTGGTCTCGGACTCCTGAGCACAAGTGATCCTTTGGCCTCAGCCTCCCAAAGTGCTAGGATTACAGGCGTGAGCCACCATGCCCAGCCCAGAAATCAAAATTATAAACAGGTAAACAATAGAAAAAAATCAATGAAGCTAAAAGTTGGATCTTTGAAAAGATCAATAAAATTTAAAAATTTCTACCAAGACTGACAAAGAAAAAGAAGACAAAAATTACCAATATCAGAAACAAAAAAGGGGATATCACTACACACACTGCAGATATTAAAAGGACAATTAGAGAATAATATAAACAAATCTATGCACATAAATTTGACAACATATATGAAATTGACCAATTTTTTGAAAACCACAAACTACCAACACTCATGTGATACGGAGTAGGTAACCGGAATAACCTTATAGCTATTAAAGAAATTGAATTTGTTATCTAAAATTTCCCGGAAAAGACATCTGTAGGCACAGATATGTTCACTTGCAAATTCTGCCACACATTTTCATTTTTTTCCTTCTATCAACTGTCTTCATATCTACCACACATTTAAAGAAGAAATAACACCAATTCTACACAGTCACTTCCAGAAAATAGAAGTACAAAGAATAATTCCCAACTCATTTTATGAAGCCATCATTAACTTGATATGAAAACCAGAAAAAGACGTAGAAGAAAAACTTTTAGGCCAGGCACAGTGGCTCACTCCTATAATCCCCGTGCTTTGGGGGGCAGAGGTAGGAGGATCACTTGAGGCCAGGAGTTTGAGACCAGCCTGGGCAATATATCCAGACCCTATCCCTACAAAATATTTTTTAAATTACCCAGGTGTGGTGGCAGGTGTGAGTAGTCCTGGCTACTCAGGAGGCTGAGGCAAGAGAATCGCTTGAGCCCAGGAGTTCAAGATTGCAATGAAGTGTGATGACACCACTGCACTCCAGCCTTGGTGACAGAATGAGACAATGTCTTTAATGAAAGAAAGAGAGAGAGAGAGAGAATAGAGAAAGAAAGGAGGGAGGGAAGGACGGAAAAGAAAAGAAAGAAAATTGAGGCTGGGCGAGGTGGCTCACACCTGTAATCCCAGCACTTTGGGAGGGCGAGGCAGGCAAATCACGAGGTCAGGAGTTTGACACCAGCCTGGCCAACATGGTGAAACTCCGTCTCTACTAAAAATACAAAAAATCAGCTGGGTGTAGTGGCAGGCGCCTGTAATCCCAGCTAGTCCAGAGGCTGAGGCAGGAGAATCGCTTGAACCCAGGAGGCAGAGGTTGCAGTGAGCTGAGATCGCACCACTGCACTCCAGCCCTGGTGACAGAGTGAGACCCCATCTCGAAAAGAAAGAAAGAAAATTAAACTTTAGACCAATATCATTCATGAATACAGAATCAAAAATCTTCAACAAAATAGAAAATGGAATTCAGTCATGCATAAAAGAATATTACGGCAGGCGTGGTGGCTCACACTTGTAATCCCAGCACTTTGGGAGGCCGAGGCAGGTGGATCACAAGGTCAGGAGTTTGAGACCAGCCTGGCCAACATGGTGAAACCCTGTCTCTACTAAAAATACAAAAATTAGCTGGGCGTGGTGGCGCGCCTGTAGTCCCAGCTACTTGGGAGGCTGAGGCAGGAGAATTGCTTGAACCCAGGAGGCGGCGGTTGCAGTGAGCCGAGATCGCATCATTGCACTCAGCCTGGTGACACAGCAAGATTCCATCTCAAAAAAAAAAAAAAAAAGAATATTACACCACCTCCAAATGGGCTTCATATAGGGAATGCAGGATGCTCAATATGTGGAAATCAATCCATATAATTCATTATATTGGCAGTCTAAAAGTAAAACTACGTGATCCCATAAATTGATGCAGAAAACACATGTGACATAATCCAACATCCAGGCTAGGTGGCTCACGCCTGTAATCCCAGCACTTCGGGAGGCCCAGGCGGGAAAATCTCTTGAGCACAGGAGTCCAAGACCAGCCTGGGCAACATAGCGAGAACTCGTCTCTACAAAAAATTTAAAAATTAACCAGATGTGATAGTTCACACTTATGGTCCCAGCTAGTCAGGAGGCTGAGGTGGGTGGATCTGTTGAGCCCAGGAAGTCAAGGCTACAGTGAGCTATGATCACGCCACTGCACTCCAGCCTGGGTGACAGAACAAGACCCTGCCTCAAAAATAATCTAAAAATAATTTAATAAAAACAATCCAACATCCATCCATGTAAAATGACATGATCATATAAATGGATACAGAAAACATCTTTAGCACAATCCAACACCTATTCATGACCAAAAAAAAAAAATTCTCAGCAACTTGATAAAAGACACCTACAAGAAAACTACATTTAACATTATACTTAAAGGTGAAAGTCTGAATGCTTTCTCCCTAAGGTCAGGAACAAGGCAAGATGTTAATTCATGTCACTATTCAACATTGTACTACAAGTCCTAGTTAGTGAAATAAGGCAAAAAAAAAAAATAAATAAAAGGAATACAGATTGGAAGGGAAGAATTTAAAATCATTCTTTTCGAAGATAACATGATTGTCTATGATAAAAATGTCAAGGAATCTACAACACCCCCTTCTGCAAACCCCACAAAAAAAACCCTTCTAAAACTGGCTGGGTGCAGTGGCTCATACATATAATCCTAGCAGTTTGCGAGACTGATGGGGAGGATCACTTGAGCCCAGGAGTTCAAGACTGGCCTTGGCAACATAGAGAGACCTCCTCTCTACAAAAAAGAAGGAGGAGGAGGAGGAGGAGAGGGAGAGAGGGGGAGGGGGAAGGAGAGGGGAAGGGAGAGGAAGAAGGAGGAGGAGGAGGAGAAGGAGGAGGAAGAGGAGGAGAATGAGAAGAGAAAAAATTAGTGAGGTAGCGAGGTGTGGTGGCACATGTCAGTGGTCCCAGCGACTTAGGAGGCTGAGCATTATGTAGAAAATGGGATTATAGACCGGGCACGGTGGCTCATGCCTGTAATCCCAGCAATTTGGGTAGCCGAGGTGGGTGGATCACTTGAGGTCTGGAGTTCAAGGCCAGCCTGGTCAACATGGTGAAACCCTGTCTCTATTAAAAAATACAAAAATTAGCCAGGCGTGTTATTGGGCGCCTGTAATCCCAGCTACTCAGGAGGCTGAGGTAAGAGAATCACTTGAACCTGGGAGGCAGAGGTTGCAGTAAGCCGAGATCACACCACTGCACCCCAGCCTGGGCGACAGAGTGAGACTCCTTCTCAAAAAAAAAAAAAAAAAAAAAAACAGATGAATAGAGGTCATTATGGTAAGTGAAATAAGCCAGGCACAGAAAGACAGACATCACGTGTTCTTACTTATTTGTAGGATCTAAAAATCAAAACAATTGAACTCACGGAGAGTAGAAGGATGGTTACCAGAGGCTGGGAAGGGTAGTAGGGAGGAGGTGGAAATGGTTAATGGATACAAAAAAATACTTAGAAGGGATAAATAAGATCTAGTATTTGATAGCACAACATAGTATCTAAGTCAAAATAAGTTAACTGTATATTTAAAATAACTAACAGTACAACTGGATTGTTCTTAACACAAAACATAAATGGTTGAAGGGATGGATACTCCATTTTCCATGATGTGATTATTACACATTGCATGCCTGGATCAAAGCATCTCATGTACCCCATAAATATATATACCTACTATGTATCCACAAAAATGAAAAATAGAAAAAATTTACCTTATAGGGTTAAGACATCTAAATGAGTTGATACACGAAATTTGCTTCAATAATACCTGTATGTGTTCAATAATGTTGGCTATCGTTATGTATACCTTTAAAAAATCAACAGGTTGGGGCCAGGTGTGGTGGCTCACACCTGTAATCCCAGCCCTTTGGGAGGCCGAGGCGGGTGGATCACCTGAGGTTGGGAGTTTGAAACCAGCCTGGCCAACATGGTGAAACCCCGTCTGTACTAAAAATACAAAAATTAGCCAGGTGTGGTGGTGCATGCCTGTAATCCCAGCTACTTGGGATTCTGAGGCCGGAGACTTGCTTGAATCCGGGAGGTGGAGGTTGCAGTGAGCCAAGATTGTGCCACTGCACTCCAGCCTGGGTGACAGAGTGAGACCCTGTCTCAAAAAAATAATAATTAAATAAAGTAAATACTTTTTTTAAATGGCAAACATTAAAAAATAATTATAAACACCATATAGGCCAAATTCAGCACATAGGTGATCACTTTACAGGATCAGTATAAAAGAATAGTTGTCATGAGTAGATGGTGAGCTTCCTGACACAGAAGGTAGTCTAATACAGTCTTCGTGACACCCAGAATCTTACAGAAGGGATTCCCTCATTAGGGAGGAGGTTTCAAAGATTATCTGTACAAAAAATTCTAGAATCTTAAAATGATAGGAAATTTCTCTGTAGGGTGACAAGCAAGGCAGAGCTGGGTGGGAAATTGCTAGCGTTTGAAAACTAACCCCAGACTGCTACAGTTAAGTACAGCAAGATTCCTGCTTCCCATGGCTTCACACCACATAGCAGTTCCTGCTCGGGGCAACCAGGCTGGTCTACACAGGTAGGGCAGACATTCTCCTTTAGTGTTATTTGGAATTTGGGGAAGTATCCCCGTTACCCAGAAAGATTGCCCTCGCATATCTGTGTCTGAAGTCTAAAATCTGAAATTTCATCATGTTAGACAATATTCCCCAAATCTTCTGTCATTCATTCTTCTTTTTCTTTTCTTTTTGGAGATAGGGTCTTGCTGTGTTGCCCAGGCACAGATATGATCATATCTTGCTGCAGCCTGAAAATTCCTGGGCTCAAGTGATCCTCCCACCTCAGCCTCTGGAGTATCTGGGATTACAGGCATGCACCATCACGCCCAGATGATTAATTTTTGTTGGAGACAGGGTCTTCCTATTGTGTCCAGGCTGATCTCAAGTAATCCTCCTGCCTTGGCCTCCCAAAGTGTTGGAATTACAGGTGTGAGTCACCTGGCCTGGCCCCAACCAAGTAAACAACAGTTAGGGTGGGAACGGAGCTGAGTATCTTCTACAATTTCCCAGATGAGAATCTTGTAACACAATTAGCTCCTAGCTCCTGCAGGTGATTAATTTACAGGTTGGATTTCCTCCAAGACTTGAAGTAGGGCAGGGTGCCACTTGGCAGGGAAGGACTGGGTATTGGGTAGAGATGGGGGTGCTCGCAGGAGAAGGATTTGCTGAAGACAAGCTTAACCTGCGTATATATTTATTTTTTTTAATTTTTTTTTTTTTTTTTAGACAGAGTTTCACTCTTGTTGCCCAGGCTGGAGTGCAATGGCGTGATCTCGGCCCACCGCAACCTCCACCTCCCAGGTTCAAGTGATTCTCCTGCCTCAGCCTCCCGAGTAGCTGGGACTACAGGCATGTGCCACCACGCCCGGCTAATTTTGTATTTTTAGTAGAGATGGGGTTTCTCCATGTTGGTCAGGCTGGTCTTGAACTCCCAACCTCAGGTGACCCACCTGCCTCAGCCTTCCAATATATTTTTTAATAAAAATATTTTTAGTATATTTACATTTTTAATAAAAATAGTTTTAATATATTTAAACACATACATATATGTATCTATGTATGTATGTGTATATATATCTTTCCAATCAGACTACAGCTCTGGGAATCTTCCCTATGGCTCCCAATCTAACAGCTTTCCCCCAACATAGACCTCTCTCCACAGCCCTTCTACCTTCCTTTCAAGTCCTGACACCTGGTAGAAACTACTAGAAAATTTAAAACAAAACTAATAAAAATGAAATCATGTCTTTTGCAGCAACATTGATGGAACCGGAGGCCATTATCTTAGGTGAAATAACTCAGAAACAGAAAATCAAATACCATATATACTCACTTACAAGTGGGAGCTAAATAATGTGTACACATGGAGATAGAAAGCAGAATAGACATGGAGACTTGGAAAGGTGGGAGCGTGACAGGGAGGCAAGGGATGAGAAATAATCTGATAATGGTGGTTACACTAAAAGCTCAGATTTCACCACCACGAAATATATCGATATAACAAAACTGCACTTGTACCCCCTATATCTATAAAAATAAATAATAAATAATAAAGCAAAACTATATATCTAACATTTTCACAGTATTCCTGGCTAATATTTCCAGCCAGTCTTGATTATAGCTGTAAACTAAAAATCCTAAGCCCCCCACCAACTGAATGCATCCCCTCTGGGCTAAGGAGACCCCAGAAAAAAACCTTAAACTCAGTTCCTGGCCATGACAGGATGGGAGGTCAAACACACATCATTATACTCCCTCTCTTGTATGGTTTGAACACAACTCATCAGCATTACTGTTGACATAGAGATCATAAGACTAACAGAACAGACTTTTTGTGGCAATAAATTACCAAGTTATAAAGAGGACATAAGACCATGCCAGGCAAAGGCTAAGTCATTCAGCTCTACGCTTAAAGAATAAACTGTCCTAGGCTGGGCGTGGTGGCTCACGCCTGTAATCCCAACA
Source organism: Homo sapiens (assembly GCF_000001405.40). NCBI lineage: Eukaryota > Metazoa > Chordata > Mammalia > Primates > Hominidae > Homo > Homo sapiens. The sequence goes on from NC_000002.12 coordinate 32,248,574, forward strand.
GTTTGGAAGGTGGAGGCAGTAGAACTGCTTGATCCCAGGAGTTCAAGACCAGCCTGGGAAACATAGTGAGACCTCATCTCCCCATAAAAAATCAAACAATGAGGATCAACTGAGCCCAGGAGGTTGAGGCTGCAATGAGCTGTGATCGCACCACTGCACTCCCACCTGGGTGACAGAGCAAGACCCAACCTCGAAAAAAAAAAAAAATTTAAAAAGAATAAACTCTGTCGTAACTGCCACAGATTTTTCTTCTTTGGTAGCTAAACAAGCATTGGTCTCAAGATAAGCAATATTGATAGTTGTGAATATTAAACAATTCGCAACTCATCCAGCTCACAAATGCTAACAATCCCTGTTCCATCTGCCATAACTACAGCTTTGATTGGAGAAGAGAGTGATTTCAGTAACTTTCTCCTGATCAGAGGACCACCAACCACAGACTGGTTCTGGCTGGTTTACAGAGATTGCGTACCTGCTTACCTTTGTGCTCTGAAAAGAACTTCTGAAGTATAGGCCTAATTGTAATACATTTAAATCATTTAAAGGGGTGTACAATCTTTTGGTTTCCCTGGGCCACATTGGAAGAATTGTCTTGGGCTACACAAAAATGAATTTGTGCTGGGCCACATTCAAAGCCGTCTTGGGCTATGTGCAGCCCACGGACTGCAGGTTGGATAAGCTTGATTTAATGCTAAATCTCCACCCCAAAGTGAACATGGGTTGTATGTTACATGCATGTTTATTCAATATGCATGTATCAAGACCACCTTCATGAATATTCATAGCTCCTCCTGTAATCTGTTGAATATGTATGTTTAGCCAACCCATTCAACATAAAGTGTCTACCCCAACCCCTCCTTCGAGGTGCCTGTCTCTGGTCTTGGTTGGAGGCATGTTTCTCAGCCTGTGGGATGGCCACCTTGCAGGCTGTAACCCTTTAGAAGAAATAAAGTCTCCTCTCTCCTTTTCCAAATTTATACACTGTTATTTTTTTTTAAGTGAACAAAGCACAAACCACTGATATTTACAATACCCGGCAGCCGTTGATTCTGTAGGTCATGAATACTCAAGGTTTTCAGGTTTGTTACAGATGTGATGTGCCTCTCATCTTCTATGGTGAGGGGACTGGCTTCCACCATGAGAGAATAAATGTTCTTACAGGTGCTGAGGACCAAACTGAGGCTTCCAGCCACACCAGCACATCTCTTTATTTGCAGCCTGAGGCTTGTGGCAGAGCTGAATATTTTCCCCAGATATCTGATATCTTGCTTATTCAACTTGCTGAAATCCCGGAGTGTGACCTCCAGAGTCCTGAATTCCTGCTTCCAGTTGAAGAACAAAGATACAGCCCTGCTGGGAATGTAGGTTTCTGGGGCCTCTTCCATGTGGATTCCACCTGTGTCTTCTGCAGCCTTTTCCCATGAAGCCATAGCTCCCCCATAAAAGTCCAGTTTAATGAAGTCCAGGGCACTTGCACAATTGGGCAAATGTTCAAAGAAGTCAAATAAGTAATCGGGGATGTTCCCTGAGTTGATATATAAGCTTTTACCTTGAAAGAAAGCTTCAAATTCTTGGCTCAGGGCTGATTTGGATGTACTCTCTTGATATAAATGGATGCCACACTCTACAAAGGAATTGATGTTTATGGCTTTCAGAATTTCTTGCTCAGTGGTGTTTTTCACACTTTGCAAAGATTCCTGTCTCCAGAGAGGCCTCTTGGCGATGGAAAGTCCGAGAAGGCAGCCGTGTTGATACACTGCTGCGAGGTGCTTCATAACAGCCCTGGTGGCTTCCACAGATGACCCACAGGTGTACCGGAGCAGGCTGCTATAAGTGGATGTAATGTCCGAAATGGAAACCATTTTCTGCAAGTAACCATTCCCCTTGGTCACCTCCTCTGGCTCATGAGACGTCAATAAACTGCTGAGTCTTCGTCCTGCTGTGTACTCCTGGAATGACTTGTGAAAGAATTTATACTTTGGCTTGAACCTTTGAGCTGTATATTTACAGAGGAGCCCAGTTGTCAGCAGGACATCCTCATTCACGCTGGACACATCCTGCAGTTCGAAATCAAACTTGTGGGAGAACACACCCTCCAGAGCTAGGTCTCCACAGTGGTCCAGGCTCCGAATGAAGTCACTTGCAGCCACACCTTTATGTTTGTGTTTGTTTTTCTGTATCAACAGATCATAGAAGGTATGGAACAGCGTTGTTTGTGTGTGAGAGTGGAACTCACTTTCACCCATCTGGATTGCACAAGTGATGACCACAAAGAGAGGGGTCTTCATGAGATTCCTCAAGCACCTGGATTTCTGAATTTGGAGCAACAAGCCTTCAGCAAGCTCCTTGATCAGCACTTCTCGGATGAGAGCCTGGGCGCTGTCTTCTGTCATATCCCCCACCTCAGCAGTCAGGGCACCAAACTGCCGTATGTGCCTCAGGCACTCAGTGGTAGTGGTGACGATGACCATGTTCTTGAAGCGGTGGTTTTCCTTTATCAGGGCTTCGATTTCTGGGCAGTTCTGGGGCTTGAATTCATTGTAGCCATCAAGAAGGAAAAGAACCCTCTGCCGCAGCTTCAGCAGCATGGCCATGAATGTCTGCTTCCTGATTGTGCCAGGTATATCCAGGAGTTGATCACAGAGGGTTTCAAAAAGTCCACCCTGGGCCCTGCTGAGACGGAGGAAGAAGACGAATTTGAACTTGGTCAGAGCCTTGCACTTTCCGGAGCCCCAGAGCATGGCAATTCGCTGCAGCAGAGTGGACTTGCCTTTGCCAGATTCCCCTTCAATGATGCAGGGGCTCTGAAGAGCCTGCAGGAGGCCATTCAGGGTCAGCTGCTCCACGCGGTGATGGTGTTGGTCCTTCCTCCACAGGACAGGTTCTGTGAAGGTGCTTTTCAAGTTAAAAATAATGTCAATATCTTCACCAAGGGGATAAAAGTTCAGAAAAGATGGGGTATGGTACAAGTCCTTTAAATCCTGAGCCAAATCGTCCAAGTCTCCTTCTGATGTCTGATGAAAAAGACCTATTAGAGAAGAGGTGATGTTAAAGAAGACCCAATTCTGTGTCTCCTCAAAACCTAGAGTTCAGGAGGATGAACGGGGGGGTGAGGCTGAGAATCTGCCATTGGTGAATGTAATGTCCTTTCCCAGTTCTGAGCTGGCACAAAGGGTTCTGTCTGCTCCCCCTTTCCCCAGCATCCTTTACCCCACTCCCCTTTTTGCTTTCTGTTTCCTCCTTTCCACAACCAAATCTTATAGCAGCTGGTTGGAAAAGGGAGGAGCTTGTTTTTGGGTTAAGGAAAGTAAAGAATTTGGCAGAGAAAGATGGTTAGGGATAATTGTCATCATAGTAGGCCTTCACTCTGAGTAAAATCTGTCATGACCTTATTTACTAATTAAAAAAATAAAAACAATATTTTATGAAACATAGAATCATGGTTCTGTGTCAGTCAGGCTGTCTTTACCAGGAGGCCTGGACATGGAGTAGGTAGTCAGCTGGGCCTCTCTCCCATAGGTAGATCTCATCCAACCAGGGAATGCTGAGAACCACTGCTGCACTGGAAGCTTAACTAGTGCACTTATTCTCCAGTTTTATCTTGCAGTGAGACAATACTCAATCATTTATTTCCTGGCCTTGGGGTTATTTGTTTGGCTTCACCATCAATTGATCTACTATGAGTTTTTCCTAAAATCATCTAAGCTTTTCCTTAGCAGGTATCAAAGGCCACTGCCAGGTGATATGAAGAGAAGGAAAAGCAGAGGCTCTGCCATGGGGAAGATGGATCTTTGTTGTGGTCTATTCTACTTGCAGAAACAGATGCAAAACTAACTGATACTTACTTTGTCCATTCAAGTCCTGAAATAGAGGATAGTTCCACTCCTTAAGGGATTTAAGAAAGAGGTTACAGGACTCTGAACCCTTTTTCAAAATCATGTGAATGATCCCTCTAGCAGCATCCTGCTCCACCTTCTCGCAGCAAATGATGTTTACTTCTTCGCGATTCAGAACATTCCATACAAATAGGTCATCTGTGATTTGCTTTATAACAGTCATTCCCATTCTTTGAATAAGGGCTCGGCTATTGTCCTTTATGAAATTCACTGAGGAGATGGGGAGAAATATACATATTTATTTACTTATATAAAATGTGCATATCCGGCTGGGCACGGTGGCTCACGCCTGTAATCCCAGCACTTTGGGAGGCCGAGGCGGGCAGATCACGAGGTCAGGAGATCGAGACCATCCTGGCTAACACAGTGAAACCCTGTCTCTACTAAAAATACAAAAAATTAGCCGGGCGTGGTGGCGGGCGCCTGTAGTCCCAGCTACTTGGGAGGCTGAGGCAGGAGAATGGCGTGAACCCAGGAGGCGGAGCTTGCAGTGAGCTGAGATAGCGCCACTGCACTCCGGCCTGGGCGAAAGAGCGAGACTCCGTCTAAAAAAAAAAAATTAAATATGCATATCAGCATCTGTCTCCAGAGCATTAGGGCCATGCATTTTTTTCCTGTGAGCATCTCCTGAGTTATGGAGATGCCAAATGCCTGAATTCCAGGCCTTCAAGAAATGCTCTGCCAAGCATTTTTTTTCTGAGACGGAGTCTTGCTGTGTCACCCAGGCTGGAGTGCAGTGACGCGATCTCGGCTCACTGCAAGCTCTGCCTCCTGGGTTCAAGCAATTCTCCTGCCTCCGCCTCCTGAGTAGCTGGGATTACAGGCACGCACCACCACACTCAGCTAATTTTTCTATTATTTGTAGAGACGGGGTTTCACCATTTTGGTCAGACTGGTCTCGAACTCCTGACCTTGTGATCCACCTGCCTTGGCTTCCCAAAGTGCTGGGATTACAGGCGTGAGCCACCGTGCCCGGCCTCTGCAAAGCATTTCTAACCCCAGAGTTATTGATGAGCAAGATGTTTTGCTTTGGTGAAGAAGTAAGGTGAGTTATCTTGTCCCTCTGATATAAAGCAGTCCCCAGTGAGGTTGTAGTTGTAAGACCGTTGGCTTTAGAATAATGGCAATGGCCTAGGATCTGCCACTTGCTACCATCTATGTGACCTTGGCAAGTCACTAAGCCTCTTTGAGTCTATTTCAATTACGTGCTGCTGGCCGGGTGCGGTGGCTCACACCTGTAACCCCAGCACTTTGGGAGGCCAAGGCGGGCGGATCACCAGAGGTCGGGAGTTCGAGACCAGCCTGACCAACATGGAGAAACCTTGTCTCTACTAAAAATGCAAAATTAGCCAGGTGTGGTGGTGCATGCCTGTAGTGGCAGCTACTCAGGAGGCTGAGGCAGGAGAATCGCTTGAACCTGGGAGGTGGAGGTTGCGGTGAGCCGAGATGGTGCCATTGCACTCCAGCCTGGGCAACAAGAGCAAAACTCTGTCTCAAAAAAAAAAAAAAAAAAAAGTACGTGCTGCTAAATGTTTCACAAACTGGCCCTGGCCCTCTGGGAGTAAAGGCCCTAATTTGTAGCATTCACCAATCCCCAAGGTATAAATATTCCTACCATGGCCTATTTCAAGCTAACAGCGTATGTTAACTGGCTAACAAAAATCCTGAAAATTCAATAATCAGGTTTCACATCACAGTAACAACCAGCTCCAGCACACTGGGGATTCCTCATCTGTACAATGGTGTCAAGAGCATTATTTAACTTAGGAAGTTGTTACAATAATTCATGTATAGTATCTCATACAAAGTAATAACTCAATATATGTTAGCTACTATTTTTAGCCTTTATTCAGGTGTCACCAGACAAAGAGCACATTGTATCTCCACAGACTTTGGTCTTTTCTGAAGAGTATCACATCAAAACACTGGTTTTTATCCAATGTAAGCTCTCTCGCCAGGTCTTGAGGGTAGCTGTGTCCTTTTTGTGTCTGACTCTGCAAGGTCTAATTCTGAAACGTAGACCACACCGTACCCAGGCACTGTACCCACGCTATGTTTGTGACAGCTTGGAGAAATGTCTTCCTGGTTTTTAACTCTCAGACACCGTCTGCACTAGATTTCTTCCTGGGCTAGGCTGCTCCTGGTTTTTTTTTTTTTTTTTTTTTTCAGACGAAGTTTCACTGTTGCTGCCCAGGCTGGAGTGCAATGGCGCGATCTCAGCTCACCACAACCTCTGCCTGCCAGGTTCAAGCAATTCCCCTGCCTCGGCCTCCCAAGCAGCTGGGATTACAGGCATGCGCCACCACACCCAGCTAATTTTGTATTTTTAGTAGAGATGAGATTTCTCTATGTTGGTCAGGCTGGTCTCGAACTCCCGACCTCAGGTGATCTGCCCGTCTCAGCTTCCCAAAGTGCTAGGATTACAGGCATGAGCCACCGCACCTGGCCGCTCCTGGCTTTCAAACCTGTGTTGACTGATCAGAGAGGGAATGCACTCCTCTCAAAGACCCCAGAACCTCTCTGGCCTGAAATGCACCATCAATCACTCCAAGCACCAGGACCCCACCCCAGCCGTCCTTTCTCACCATTGCAGAGCTCTGCTGCTGACCTCAGCTAGAATATTCCCTGTCTACATGTCCTGCAAGAGTCCCATCTCTCTCCTTCTGGGGTCTCATCTGTTCTCTAGCTTCCACATCATCCCTATGGAAGTAACCTCTAAGTCTGTGTCCCATTGTGATCTTCAGTTTAGAGCTAAAGAAATACAGCCTCACCCGGGCGCAGTGGCTCACACCTGTAATCCCAGCACTTTGGAAGGCTGAGGTGGGCGGATTATCTGAGGTCGGGAGTTCGAGACTAGCCTGACCAACATGGAGAAACCCTGTCTCTACTAAAAATACAAAATTAGCCAGTCGTGGTGGCACATGCCTGTAATCCCAGCTACTCGGGAGGCTGAGGCAGGCGAATCACTTGAACCTGGGAAGCAGAGGTTGCGGTGAGCCCAGATGGCGCCATTGCACTCCAGCCTGGGCAACAAGAGCAAAACTCCGTCTCAAAAAAAAAAAAAAAAAATAAGAAATACAGCCTCAGAAAGGCTTAGAGACCCACACACACACAAGTTCACAGCCTAGCCTTCCTGAGACTACCTTTCTTCACCTATAAAATGAAGACACGTTATTTAAAATACTCTAATTATTTAAAAGACTCATTATATTGAATAAGTCACATAACTCTCATACCCAAAAATGTCTTAAAATTGGAAAAGTGGCTAGGCGTGGTGGCTCACACCTGTAATCCCAGCATTTTGGGAGGCCGAGGCGGGTGGATCACGAGGTCAGGAGATCGAGATCATCCTGGCTAATATGGTGAAACCTCGTCTCTACTAAAAATACAAAAAATTAGCTGGGCATGGTGGCACGCGCCTGTGGTCCCAGCTACTCAGGAGGCTGAGGCAGAAGCATCGCTTGAACCCAGGAGGTGGAGGTTGCAGTGAGCCAAGATCACACCACTGCACTCCAGCCTGGGCTACAGAGCGAGACTCCATCTCACACAAAAAAAAAAATTTACAAAAAAAAATATATATATAAACAGTAAGATATTATTTTACTATGTTATATCTCCTTGTATGTAGACCATCATACTCCTTCCTTATCAAGTAATTAG